>NT_187636.1:0-248807 GCF_000001405.40 Homo sapiens
ACTGAGATAGAAATTATGCAAGAGAAGCACAGCAGAAACAACTAGAATGGGGACTAAAATAAGAATGGTGCTTCAGGCTATTCCTCAATTTCTTTATCCTAGAGCTCCCAAGAGGGTCTAAAGGGGCTGGGAGAGATTTACAGGACACTTACCTTCCTGTGCCTGAATCCTCTGGCCCAGACAGAGCACTGGAAGAGAGAGATTTATGAAAAATCAAGCTTCCATTTCCAACCTTTACGACAAATCACCCTCTGTAATGACAGACCAGAAAAAGACCAGTACCAGATGGATTCACAGCTCAATCCCACCAGATATATAAAGAAGAGCTGGCATTTTTTTTTTTTTTTGACACAGAGTCTCGCTGTGTCGCCCAAGCTGGAGTGCAGTGGCATGATCTTGGCTCACTGCAAGCTCTGCCTCCCAGGTTCATGCCATTCTCCTGCCTCAGCCGCACGAGTAGCTGGGACTACAGGCGCCCGCCACCACGCCTGGCTAATTTTTTTGTATTTTTAGTAGAGACAGGGTTTCACCATGTTGGCCAGGATGGTTTTGATCTCCTGACCTTGTGATCCGCCTGCCTTGGCCTCCCAAAGTGCTGGGATTGCAGGTGTGAGCCACTGCGCCCGGCCAAGAAGAGCTAGTATTATTCCTACTGAAACTATTGAAAAAAATCCTGGAGGAGGGACTCCTCCCCAACTCATTCTATGAGGCCAACATTATCCTGATAACAAAATGTGGCAGAGATACAACAAAAACAGAAAACTTCTGGATAATATCTTTGTTGAACATAAATGCAAAAATCTTCAACAAAATACTAGTAACCATATTTCTATATGGGGTTCTATCATATGTTTTCCTTCCACAACAATCACAGTTTTGAGGTTCATTCTTTATTTTTACCTTTCAGATTCCAGCCTCTAAGTCTCTCCTTGATAAGAACCTTGGGACCATCATGAATCCCAGATAACACACTATAGGTTTAATACAAATATTAAACCTTGAGCCCCACAAGCTAGCTTGGGCTTGGGTAGAGACAAAGTTATAGATACATTGACAAAGACGGCCTTTCCACTAAGGAGATCAGAATCTCCTTGGCAGCCACTAAAATCTCCTAGTCACACTGTTAAGAGACACCCTGATTATTTTGGGATTTCTCTATCTTCCCCTCTAACCCACTTTTACTCTGAAACTCACCAAGACACAGGAGGGTGGTCTGTTTGGGGTCCATCGTGCTGACACGGCCTCAGCCCCGTTGCTCTCCTTTCAATGCACATTAGCAGGATGACAGATATTCTTACGACAATAAGCTCCGCAGGAAGTATGAGGACAGAGCCCCTCGTCAGGGAATTTCCACATCTATTGCCTCACAGCAAAGTGGAACAGTTCGTTGCCGAATAACTTAGTTCCAGGTTGCTCTTGGGTGGAGCCCAAGAGAAGACATATATATGTATATTTTTTTAAATAGAGATGGGGTCTTTCTATGTTGGCCAGGGTAGTCTCTAACTTCTGGCATCAAGAAATCCTCCTGCCTAAGACCTGTATTTCTATTTATGTTTCAGATGAGAAATGAATGAGAAGTGAATTTTCATTAAGCCAGTGTCTAATGGTGTTCAAATTCATCTTTGAACCAGATGCTACATCCAAATAGACGGGCTTGGGACAGAATATAAGGTGGTGGATACCATACAGGCAGACATTGCCTTCACTGGGCCATTAGTCAAAAGCTCTGTGGCTTTGTCTGTTCTGAACCTATGTTTCATCTCTGAGATTCATGGTCTGAGTATATTTACTTGGACTTGACCAGGCATGCAGTATACCCTTATCCTGGAGATGATCTCAATGCCAGAGTGTGGAGGCATTTTCTCTGGCACTATTTGTCATCTCTAAAGAAAGAATCTACTATTTTATTATACTTTTTTGTTTATTTGTATAAATTTAAGGAGCGCAAGTGAAATTTTATTACGTGGATATTTTGTGTAGTGGTGAAGTCTGGGCTTTTAATATAATTATCCTCAAATAATGTACATTGTTGCTCATTGAGTATTTTTTTAACTTTTATTTTAGGTTCAAGGGTACATGGGAAGGTTTGTTATACAGGTAAACTTGTGTCATGGGGGTTTGTTGTACAGATTATTTCATCACCTAGGTAATAAGCTTGGTACCTAATAGTTACTTTTCCTGCTCCTTTCCCGCCTCCCACCCTCCACCCTAAAGGAGACCCCATTGTCTGTTTTTCCCTTTTTTGTGTTCATGAGTTCTATTATTTAGCTTCCACTTATAAGTGAGAACCTGCTGTATTTGGTGTTCTGTTCTTGTATAGTTTGCTAAGGATAATGGCCTCCAGCTCCATCCATGTTTCCACAAAACATATGAACTCATTCTTTTTTTATGGCTTCAAATTAATTTTATTTTTATCTTATTATTTATGTTATTTTGATTGTAGACTCCTGGCTATCACGAATTCTTCAGGTATGGAGAGTGAAATATTCCTAATTAAACCTTCTACTATTTTATTTTATTTTATTTATTCTTTTTTTTTTTTTGAGACGGAGTCTTGCTCTGTCGCCCAGGCTGGAGTGCAGTGGCGTGATCTCAGCTCACTGCAAGCTCCACTTCCCGGGTTCATGCTATTCTCCTGCCTCAGCCTCCCGAGTAGCTGGGACTACAGGCACCCGCCACCACGCCCGGCTAATTTTTTTTGTATTTTCAGTAGAAACGGGGTTTCACCGTGTTAGCCAGGATGGTCTCGATCTCCTGACCTCGTGATCCACCCACTTCGGTCCCCCAAAGTGCTGGGATTACAGGCATGAGCCACCGCGCCCCACTTTATTTTCATTTTAATACATCATAACTTAGCCCTTCCAACGCCGAAGTATTTTGAAGTCCTGAGCTTGTCCCATATTTCAGAAAGCCGATCAGCTTCCATGTTGACTGTTTCATTTGTGCAAATTTAAGTGACCTTTTGTTTTGCCACATTTTGTTAATTTCCACATACATATTTACGTTCGGGAAATTTGGAAATACTACGTTCTGGAAATTTGGTGTTGATGATTGCATGAAATTGACTGCATTCTAATTTTCTTTTTTTGTTGTTTTGTTACTTATGCCTTATTTATTCATTCCTTTGTTCTCACTTGAATGGGACTTTGGGTGAAAGACAAATAATGGCTGTACTCTTAGTTGAGTATTTAAAATGCAGAGATTGTAAAGGCAGGATGACCTAATTAAAAATACTATTGTTGGCTGGGTGCAGTAGCTCATGCCTGTAATCCCAGCACTTTGGGAGGCCAAGGCAGGTGAATCACTTGAGTTCAGGAATTTAAGACCAGCCTGGTCAATGTGGTGAAACCCAGTCTCTACTAAAAATATAAAAAATTACTTGGGTGTGGTGGCGGGTGCCTGTAATTCCAGCTACTCGGAAGGCTGAGGCAGGAGAGCCACTTGAACCCAGGAGGCAGAGGTTGCAGTGAGCCAAGATCACTGCACTCCAGCCTGGGCAACACAGAGCGAGACTGTGTCTCAAAAAAACAAAAGCTATTGTTATGGTTTACAAATGACGTGGCTTTCTATTGGGAGAGAGATACTTACTAATTGTTGAATTTCAGGAACTTCAGTGGCCAATATTTACTAATGGGCTGGAACAGATTTTGTCAACTTACCACAACATTTGGTGTGGTTTTGTTCTTTTGTTTCCTCCTTTTGTGGAACAGGAATGGTAACGTAGCCATGGGGTGCTGAGATATTTGGTTAAACATTATTCTGTGTGTGTCTGTGGGGGTGTTGCTGAATGAGATTATCAATGGAATTAGTGTAATTTATAAAGCAGATTGCTCTCCCTAATGTGAGTCGGCCTCATTCAATCAGGTGGGACCTGAATAGAACAAAACATTGAACTGGTAATGTAAGATGAAGTTCCTTTTGCTTGGACATCAGTCTTTTCTGGCTCTTGAACTCTCACTAAAACATTGACTCTTTAGATGTTAAGCCTGCCAGCTTTTTTTGTTTGTTTGTTTTTTTGAGATAGAGTCTCACTCTGTCACCCAGGCTGGAGTGCTGTGGCATGATCTCGGCTCACTGCAACCTTCACCTCTTGGGTTCAAGCAATTCTCGTACCTCAGCCTCTGAGTAGCTGGGATTACAAGCGAATGCCACTATGCCCGGCTAATTTTTGTATTTTTAGTAAAGATGGGGTTTCACCATGTTGGCCGGGCTGGTCTTGAACTCTGACCTCAGGTGATCTGCCTGCCTTGGTCTCCCAAAGTGTTGGGATTACAGGCGTGAGCCATCATGCCCGGCATGAGCCTGCTAGCTTTTGGACTGTTACGTATACCACTAACTCTACTGGTTCTCAGACTTTTGCACGTAGACTGGAACTACACGTGGACTCCCCTGGGTCTCCAGCTTGCAGATGGCAGATCATGGGACCTGTCAGTCTACATAGTTGCATAAGCCAATATATAAATACCCTATCTGTGTATCAATCATTATATATCTGTCATTATCCAACTATATGTCTATCATTATTTGTGATATCATTATATATCTATCATTATTTGTCTATCAATCATTATCTATATATCTATCATTATTAGTGTTGATTATTTTTTTTTCTGGAGAACCCTGACTACTATAGCTTCCATGTTCCTGTCTCAACTGTCACCAGTCCCCTTAGCACAGGGCCTATCATAGCCATTCTACGGCCCAAGGAATTACAAGCCACATAACTACAGGAGTCACAGTGACCCAAGGATTTAGACGGAGACACGGAAGAATTGAGGCATCTATTGGTCTCTGCATATTTTGGGATTTGGGATTTCCCAGCAGGGAAATTTGCCTTGAATCTGTCTAACTGGTCACTAAGAGTTGATTGGTAGGTTCCATTCTCCGTGCACAGCATAAACCCTAATAAGCCCAAACTGACTGGCAGTGGAGACTCTCAACCCTCAATGGGACCAAACTGTGACTGGCAGTGGAGACTCTCAACCCTCAATGGGACCAAACTGTGACTGGCAGTGGGGACCTTCAACCCTCAGTGGGACCGAACTGTGACTGGCAGTGGGGACCTTCAACTCTCAGTGGGACTTTACAGCACTCAGCTGCACCTGTGTGGAGAATTTGTCTCAAACACCTAAGAAGGAAGGAGGCCTTTGTTTCGAGGAAGAAGAAGGGGAGCTGCTTCTCTATCCACTGACCTCAGAGGTACCGGAGAGTGTCCAGTGAGGGCCTTAACTCTCTGCAGTATTTTTTTTTTTTTTGAGATGGAGTCTCACCCTGTCGCCCAGGCTGGAGTGCAATGGCAGGATCTCGGCTCACTGCAACCTCTGCCTCCCCAGTTCAAACGATTCTCCTGTCTCAGCCTCCTGAGTATCTCAGATTTACAGGCACCTGCCACCATGCCCAGCTATTTTTTGTATTTTTAGTAGAGACAGAGTTTCACCATGTTGGCCAGGCTGATCTCGAACTCCTGACCTCGTGATCTGCCCACCTCCGCCTCCCAAAGTGCTGGGATTATAGGCGTGAGCCACTGCACCCAGCCACTCTCTGCAGTTTTAAAGGCCATTTCCATGAATTAGAGTATACTTAGGCACTGAGGTAAGCATGGCACAGCTTTCTGAAAATAAAGTTGAAACTTAGAGGTTTCTTTTAGCTTTATTGAGATATGATTGACAAATGGAAATTGTATATATTTAAGGTGTATTACACTTGATGTTTTGATGTATGTATACATGGTGACATGATCATCATAGTCAAGCTAGTTATATCCATCATCTCGCAGGGTTATTGTTTTTTTTTTTTTTTTTTTTGAGAGGAAGTCTTACTCTGTCCCCCAGGCTAGAGTGCAGTGGTGCCATCTTGGCTCACTGCAACCTCCGCTCCCAGGTTCCAGCAATTCTCGTGCCTCAGCCTCCTGAGTAGCTGGGATTACAGGCTTGTGTCACCACGCCTGGCTAATGTTTGCATTTTTAGTAGAGACAGGGTTTCACCATGTTGGCCATGCTGGTCTTGAACTCCTGACCTCAAGTGATCTGCCCGTCTTGGCCTCCCAAAGTGCTGGGATTACAGGCGTGAGCCACCGCGCCCGGCCTATGGTTTCTTTTTCTTTCTTTCTTTTTTTTTTTTTTGTGGTGAGGACCCTTAAGATCTACTCTCCCAGCCGGGCGTGGTGGCTCATGCCTGTAATCCCAGTACTTTGGGAGGCCGAGGCAGGCGGATCACGAGGTCAGGAGATCGAGACCATCCTGGCTAACACAGTGAAACCCCGTCTCTACTAAAAATACAAAAAATTAGCAGGGCGTGGTGGCGGGCGCCTGTAGTCCCAGCTACTCGGGAGGCTGAGGCAGGAGAATGGCGTGAACCCAGGAGGCGGAGCTTGCGGTGAGCCGAGATCGCGCCACTGCACTCCAGCCTGGGTGACAGAGCAAGACTCCAGCTCAAAAAAAAAAAAAAAAAAAAAATCTACTCTCCCATGCTTGCCTCGGCAGCACATATACTAAAATTGGAACGATACAGAGAAAACTAGCATGGCCCCTGCGCAAGAATGACACGCAAATTCGTGAAGTGTTCCATATTTAAAAAAAAAAATCTACTTTCCTGGTAAATTTCAAGTATAGAGTACAGTATTGTCAACCATAGTGGCAAAGCTGTACAAGAGATCTTCAGACCCATTCCTCCTGAATACCTGATAGTTTGTATCCTTTGATCAACATCTCCCAATTCCCTCCCCCACACTGTCCCTGTAGTTCTAGTGAGTTCCCCAGACTCTGATGTCTCAATTTCATTCAGTCACTTTCCTCCAGATACATCTACCCATTCCTACTGCATCTTAGTATCCTGAGCCTTGGGGGCAGTTTCTGTGCCAAGTGGAAATGTGGAAATGAGATATTACGAAGAAAAATCTTTGCCCACCTAGACAGGGATCTGATGTTTTCCAAGATGACACATGATTACATGTTGAAATGATAATATTTTGAGTCTACTTGTATAATAAAATAATATTTTGGATCTATTAGGTTAATATTTTGGGTCTGTTGGGTTAATAATATTTTGGGTCCATTGGGTTAACTTAAATTAATTTTATCTGTTTCTTGTTAGCTTTTTAATTTGGATACTAGCAAGTTTGAAAGAATGCATGTGGTTTGCATTATGTTTCTATAGGACAGAACTTACCTGTAGATGTAAGGGAGTCACAACAAAATTACAAGCATTGTTTTTGGTGGAAATGAGAAAAATGATTACAAATTTACATGGAAAAGCAAATAGCCAATAATAATAATAATGGCAATCTTAAAGAGGAAGGAGAAATTAGAGGATTCAGGCTGCCAAATTTTAAGGGGTTCTATAAGGCCACATAAAGTGCAGCATCCTCATGAGAGTGGACACAGAGAGCCACTGAGCAGAAAAGAGTGTGTAAAATACATCTGTGTACACACAGTCCTTTTATAGTTGACAGAGGCTGCCATGCGGATTAAGGTGGAATAGAATGTCTTCTCAGTAAATAACATTGGACCAGAGGGTTACAAGCAGGAAAAAATAAATCTAAGCTTATTTTCACACCATAAAAACACTGCTAATTTTTTATCTTATTATCATACATTTTGATGATTTATTTATAAAATTGATGAATGAAAATTATATACAGTAGTCCTTCACTATTCATGGGTGATTGGTTCCAGGAAACCCCCCTCCCTACCAGACACCAAAATCTGCAGATGCTCAAGCCTGTTGCATGAAATGGCACAGCGTTTGCATATAACCCATGCACATCCTCCTGTATACATGAAATCATCTCTAGATTACTTATAATTCCTGATACAGCCTACACACCACCTCACTTGTGTCCACACAATATAGTATTTTTGCTTTTTGGAACTTTGTGGATTTTTTCTCTGAATATTTTTGATTTATATTTGGTTCAATAAACACCTGTAAACCCCACAGATATGGAGGAGCGACTGTATATTTATAGTATGAAAGATGATGTGTTGACATGTGTCCCTGTGGAGATGAGACTAACAAGGCCTATGACTCTACAAATGTTTCATCTTGGAATGACTCTGCCAGCTTTCCAGGTCTGCAGAGAGTAAGAATATCACTTGTTCATGTGATTCACGATCCTTGGAACCTCCTATGTGCTGCATCTTTGGATGGAAATTGGAGTCCCAGAGACAAATGAGGCTCCACCCTGCTTCCAGAAGCTCAGAGTCCAGGGCTGAGAACCCAGTAGAGAACATATCAGGTTATATGGACATAGTAATGATAACACTGGAAACTTTTGGCGAATAAAGAGTCACATTATCGAAACCATGAGGGCAGACATGTTTATTTGAAGAGGAGAGAGCTACACTGAAGTTATAAAAAAAATTTATAAATTTTACTGATGACAGAAGGCTGAAAGATAGTCTGAGGGGAGGTGGAACAGCATGAGGGAAGGTGGAACAGCAAGTGTGTAAGTGCCGTGTTAAGAGGGAGCCTCTTGCATGTTTGGAATTGTGAGTTCCTCAGTGTGATTGCAGCCTCAAGTAGGACTAGGAAGTAAGCCAGTTAGGTTGGAGAGGTGGGCAGGGGTCAAGTGAAATAGATACTTGTGGGCTAAGCAAAGGAGTGTGTTTTCTCTGCAGCAGGCAGTGGCGACCTTAGGCATTTGTAAGCAAGAGAGAGGCATGTTCAGATTCGTGGTGTGAGGAAGAGCGATCCCCTAAGATGCAGACTGATGCCTTCAGATTCCAGCTGCTGGTTCATTGGATCTGGCAACCTGGTTTTGAGACAGGGCTGTTGTCTCCCTAGAAAACCCCCTCAAGACCTGACTGTGGTGCTCGTGGGCAGGAGACAACTTTGGATCTGGGCTCAGCATTTGGAAGTTCCGTGTACACGCTGGTATCTGTTAGGGGTGTCTTGGGCCTCTGAGAAGGGCGACTGATTTTTCTCTGTATGAAAACGCAGTGATCCAACTGTGCGTACATCACCTCCTGAGGGTCTTGTTCATCAGAGTCCTGGAGAGAGGGAAATGCTGAGTGAGGGAGGGTGCTCACATTTTTCAGGACTATTAGGGATAAGACTGTATCCGTGAGGCTGGGCCGAGGAGGACCTACCTGCCTATTCACTGTTCTGTCCCCCGCAGGCTCTTGGTCCATTACAGCAGCATCTGTAGGAGACGGAAGTCATCAAAACCGCTTGGAGGGCCCTTCTGGGTCCTCATTTCATGGGCAGACACCAACCCACAGGGGGAGGCTGTAGGTGCCTGAGGCTCTTCAGCTGCCAACATCCAGACTCAGACATTCTATCTCTCTGAGTTCAAGACCCCATCCCATGAAGTGCTCTCAATTGGCATCCCATTGATTCTGTCTCCCACTTTCTGCCTGTCATGGAAGCTTCTGGATGTCAGTGGCTGCAGGGGATGTGAGGATACAGTTCAGAACCAGGCAATGGTCTGTGAGCTGAAGGCAGGGGCAGGTTGTCTGGTGCTCTCTCTAGAAAGCCCTGCCTCTGTGGCTCCTCCCTTGGGCCAGGGACCATCCTGCCAGTGAGGAACACACACCCGCGTGCTCCCATCCTGCTTCCCCACATGGCCCTGAGCTCTCTGGCCTCTGCTTCGTGAGACTTACTCTTTTTGTTGGAGCACCAGCGATAAAGGAGAAAGAAGAGGAGGAGGATGAAGAGGAAGATGACCACTGAGGTCCCAATCAGAACATGCAGGTGTCTGCAGATACCTGGAGGAAGATGGGAATCCAATAAGAAGCTAATCATAGCAGTTCCTCTTTATGGATTGTCTCATTTCTTGATTGACAGGTAACCACATGGAACATCTCCTTAGGACAAGCAGCCTGATGGCGGGAGACCCAGCTTTCTCCTGCTTTCTCAGTTACAGCTCTCATAGAAACCATAGAACATGCTGAGGATACAGCTGCTTTAGTTTAGATGTTTGACCCTTTGAAACCTCACACTGAAATATTGAAATTTAACCCCCAGTGTGGAAGTTTGGGCCTATGGGAAGGTGTTTGAGTCATGGAGGTGGATCCATCATGAATAGATTAATGCTGCCCCACATGATGGGGTTAGCAAGTTCCCCCTCTATTAGTTCCCGGAGGGCTGGTTGTTAAAAAGAGCTTGGAAGCTCCATCGCTCGCCCTCCCCCTTGCTCCCTCTCTTGCCATGTGATCTCTGTGGTCTCTGCACAGACAGACCCTCCTTCCCTTCTGCCAGAGTGGGAGCAGCCTGAGGCCGTCACAGGAAACAGATGCTGGTGCCATGCTTCCAGTACAGCCTGCAGAACTGTGAGGCAAACAAATCTGTTTTCTCTAGAAGTTGCCCAGGCTCTGGGATGCAAGGCTGGTTCAATATATGCAAATCAATAAATGTAATCCATCATATAAACAGAACCAAAGACAAAAACCGGACGATTATCTCAATAGATGCAGAAAAGGCCTTTGACAAAATTCAACAACACTTCATGCTAAAAACTCTCAATAAATTAGGCATTGATGGGACGTATCTCAAAATAATAAGAGCCATCTATAACAAACCCACAGCCAGTATCATACTGAATGGGCAAAAACTGGAAGCATTCCCTTTGAAAACTGGCACAAGACAGGGATGCCCTCTTTCACCACTCCTATTCAACATAGTGTTGGAAGTTCTGGCCAGGGCAATTAGGCAGGAGAAGGAAATAAAGGGTATTGAATTAGGAAAAGAGGAAGTCAAATTGTCCCTGTTTGCAGATGACATGATTGTATATCTAGAAAACCCCATTGTCTCAGCCCAAAATCTCCTTAAGCTGATAAGCAGCTTCTACAAAGTCTCAGGATACAGAATCAATGTACAAAAATCACAAGCATTCTTATACACCAATAACAGACAAACAGAGAGCCAAATCATGAGTGAACTCCCATTCACAATTGCTTCAAAGAGAATAAAATACCTAGGAATCCAACTTACAAGGGATATGAAGGACCTCTTCAAGGAGAACTACAAACCACTGCTCAATGAAATAAAAGAGGATACAAACAAATGGAAGAACATTCCATGCTCATGGGTAGGAAGAATCAAGATCGTGAAAATGGCCATACTGCCCAAGGTAATTTATAGATTCAATGCCATCCCCATCAAGCTACCAATGACTTTCTTCACAGAATTGGAAAAAACTACCTTAAAGTTCATATGGAATCAAAAAAGAGCCTGCATTGCCAAGTCAATCCTAAGCCAAAAGAACAAAGCTGGAGGCATCATGCTGCCTGACTTCAAACTATACTACAAGGCTACAGTAACCAAAACAGCATGGTACTGGTACCAAAACAGAGATATAGATCAATGGAACAGAATAGAGCCCTCAGAAATAATGCCACATATCTACAACTATGTGATCTTTGACACACCTGAGAAAAACAAGCAATGGGGAAAGGATTCCCTATTTAATAAATGGTGCTGGGAAAACTGGCTAGCCATAGGTAGAAAGCTGAAACTGGATCCCTTCCTTACACCTTATACAAAAATTAATTTGAGATGGATTAAAGACTTAAACGTTAGACCTAAAACCATAAAAACCCTAGAAGAAAACCTAGGCATTACCATTCAGGACATAGGCATGGACAAGGACTTCATGTCTAAAACACCAAAAGCAACGGCAACAAAAGCCAAAATTGACAAACGGGATCTAATTAAACTAAAGAGCTTCTGCACAGCAAAAGAAACTACCATCAGAGTGAACAGACAACCTACAAAATGGGAGAAAATTTTCGCAACCTACTCATCTGACAAAGGGCTAATATCCAGAATCTACAATGAACTCAAACAAATTTACAAGAAAAAAACAAACAATCCTATCAAAAAGTGGGCAAAGGACATGAACAGACACTTCTCAAAAGAAGACATTTATGCAGCCAAAAAACACATGAAAAAATGCTCACCATGACTGGCCATCAGAGAAATGCAAATCAAAACCACAATGAGATACCATCTCACACCAGTTAGAATGGCGATCATTAAAAAGTCGGGAAACAACAGGTGCTGGAGAGGATGTGGAGAAATAGGAACACTTTTACACTGTTGGTGGGACTGTAAACTAGTTCAACCATTGTGGAAGTCAGTGTGGCGATTCCTCAGGGATCTAGAGCTTGAAATACCATTTGACCCAGCCATCCCATTACTGGGTATAAACCCAAAGGACTATAAATCATGCTGCTATAAAGACACATGGACACGTATGTTTATTGTGGCACTATTCACAATAGCAAAGACTTGGAACCAACCCAAATGTCCAACAATGATAGACTGGATGAAGAAAATGTGGCACATATACACCATGGAATACTATGCAGCCATAAAAAATGATGAGTTCATGTCCTTTGCAGGGACATGGATGAAATTGGAAATCATCATTCTCAGTAGACTATCACAAGGACAAAAATCCAAACACTGCATGTTCTCACTTATAGGTGGGAATTGAACAATGAGAACACATGGACACAGGAAGGGGAACATCACACTCTGGGGACTGTTGTTGGGTGGGGGGAGGGGGGAGGGATAGCATTAGGAGATATACCTAATGCTAAATGACGAGTTGATGGGTGCAGCACACCAGCATGGCACATGTATACATATGTAACTAACCTGCACATTGTGCACATGTACCCTAAAACTTAAAGTATAATAATAATAAAAATTTAAAAAAAAAGCTCATCAGAAGCACTATACAAAAAAAAAAAAAAAAAAAGAAGTAACCCAGGCTCAAGTGTTCTTTTATAGCAACAAAAATGGACTAAGACAGCAACGTCCTGAGATCAGGAGGAACGTCTCAGAACAGCCTGTGCTGTCTTCCTGTTCTTCCTGGAGGAGGACGTCATGCAGTGCTTTAGCTGAGTGCTTCCTGTGGCTTCAGGGTACGAAACCCAGGCTGGGCTATTTTCTGGCTTCCCCCAGATACACTGCAAATGAGGTGACTCCATATGTCCCGAGAAGCTTTTCTGAGCCTTGAGGGACTGGCTCACATTGAAATGTAGGCTTCTGTTGTCACTCGCTGCTTATCTGTTAGTAATGAACCTGCCTATGTAACGTATTCTCTGTGTGTTCTGTCTCCCTGGAGTGACGGTGAGTGATAGAAATTTGCATAGGCCCAGGTGCAGTACAGCAGGTGTTTAGAGTCTTCTCTGGAAAGACTGAACTGGGATTGATACACAGTGAATGTGCTTTACAGTTTCTACATCCACAACCCTCTTGACTCAAATTACATTCTCCAAGAAAAGGACACAAAAGTGAAATCAAGATCAAAAAAGCAAAGTAGAATTCTCTTATGTCAAACAGCCAGGAAATAATGATGAAGCCCATGTGAAACGTGCTACTCTTTGTGATCTCGCGAGACACATGTTAGGCTGCTGTTCCACCTGAGAGGCTGGGGGAAAGACCACCCCCTCCACCATCTATTGCTTCAAAACCACCTGTCCTCCTGTGAATTAGTAGGAAAGGGGAGCAGGAGCTAGTGCTGGTGCTGATCTCTGATTCCAAGATCTGAACTCACTCCAAGGAGTATTAGCGTTTACCTCCCCATGATCTATCTGTATCTCCACAGGTGATTGGAAGTAGGGGTGAGGTGGGGGATTTGGGTGAGGGGGCAAGTTTCTTGTGATGAACAGAGCACTTTCCCTATTTCAGGGCCTGTGCTGGTGGGTTCAGGGGGCTTTCATATTTTCCATATGATCTCATGTTCACAGAAAGCCAAATATGGAAGAGGTTTTAGGCTGATTTTCTAATGGATAAGATAAAGGATCAAAGAAGTAATTATAGAGAAATAGAAAAATGATGATTGGAATTCAGGTGCCTGCATCATTTGTGTATATTATTATATTTATGTATTTTTTATTTTTATTTTTTGAGCCAGAGTATCCCTGTGTAGCCCAGGCTGGTGTGCAGTGACGCGATCTCCACTCACTGCAACCTCTGCCTCCAGGGCTGAAGTCATTCTCCTGCTTCCTCCTCCAGAGTAGCTGGGATTACAGTCATGCACCACCATCATGCCTGTTTAATTTTTGTATTTTTAGTAGAGATAGGGTTTCTCCATGTTGGCCAGGCTGGTCTCGAACTCCTGACTTCATGTGATCCACCCGCGTTGGCCTCCTGAAGTGCTGGGTTACAGGCGTGAGCCACCGTTCACAGCCTTGTATATTATGCTATACTAGGTCCCTTCATTTGCACCACCCCTCATCTAGCTCTCCCTCCTCTGCCAGGTATTGATTTAGATGCAGGAGAAATAAATCTCAGAAATAAGTTAGTGAAGCGAGGATTAAACTACCAGGAAAAAATCAAACCCAGCAAGCCTTTCCAGCCAATGATTCTACCTCACAAACATATCTTATATCCATCTACTTCATTCATTTAGTGTCTAAATCAGCACCACATTTCACCAGTGGGGCGGGAATTGCCTTTTCCACGGTCTCCTAGATTCCAGTTACGCACCTGGGCCTCCCTTATTTTCATGTCAGTCATATTAATCATGTAGGGATTCCTGGTTACCCCGAGGTGAGTCCAATGGCTGTGAGTGTCAAACACACACTCCTTGTTGCTCCTTAGTTTCCTGTGTACCCAGTGTGCTCTCCGTCTCTCTACAGTCGTCTTGTCATTCTCCCCACGTCATTCCCAGCATTTGAGGCAGAGCCTCTTCCTTCAACATCAGATTATTTTCACCTTTGTGCCTTCACGGCTGACAGCTGTGTGTGCAAAATCCTTCCGCCCATCTTTCAGGGGTTCAATCCGTGTTTTTCATTAATGTCACAAATATCTGATTAGTGAGAACTTCTCTGTCACCTGAAATCATACACTCAGCATTATCTATTATTGATTTGAAAATTTGGCTTGGCCCCGTGGCTCATGCCTCTTATCCCAGCGTGTTGGGAGGCAGAGGCTATTGGATCACCTGAGGTTGGGAATTTGAGACCAGCCTGGCCAACATGGTGAAACATCCTCTCTACAGAAAATATGCAAAAAGAGTTAGCCGGGCGTGGTGGTTGTGGTCTGTAATCCCAGCTACTGGAGAGGCTGAGGGAGGAGATCCGTTCAGCCCAGGAGGTGGAGGTTGCAGTGAGCCGAGATCATGCCACCGCACTCTAGCCTGGACGACAGAGCAAGGCTCCGTCTCAATAAACAAGTAGGTAAATACATAAATAAATAGATTTCATGCACAGATGCTTCTCAATAGATCATTCATTTATTGGTCCCCTTGTGCCTACATTTTCTGCCCTCCCATTTAACCATCTGCAAGATCAGTGTCCCAAGAACAGAGGCCAAATGCATCTTGTTCACTGTTTGTGGAAGGCAGGAGAATGTTGTCCCACCCCAAAAATGTCCATGTCCTAGCCTCCATAGCTTGTGAATATGTTATTTTACATGAAAGGAGGAATGAAGATTGCAGATGGAATTATGGTTGCTAGTCAGCTGAACTTAAAAGGAGGGTATCCTGGATGATTTCCGGGAGATTATGATGGATTTTCATCTTGGTGAACCCAATAGAATCCCCAAGTTTTCAAAAGAAGGGGAAGAAGGGAGAGCAGCATTCAGAGAAAGAGGTGTGGTAAGGAAGAAGGGTCTGAGTGATGCCATGTGAGATGTGACCAGTCTTTGTGGGCTTTGAGGAAGGAGGAAGGGTACCAGGAGCCAAGGAACATGGGAGCCTCTAGAAGCTGAGAAAAGTGAGAAGCAGATTCTTGCCTGGAACCCTCAGAGGGAAGGCAGCCTTGCTGTCACCTTGATTTTAGCCCAGTGACATGCACGTCATGCTTTGAGCTACAGCACTGTAAGATAATTAAATAACCGTTTTGTTTTCACCCACGAATCTTGTGGAAATTTGTTATGGCAACAATAGGAAAAGCTTCCACACTGCACAGCCTGAGCATGGGGCTGTGGCTGAATGAGTCAGTGAGTCGAAGTGTGCGTGCATGAGCTCTGTTCTCTGTTACGGCAAGGCTCTTGCTCTGCTGAGTCAGCCAGGGTTGCCTGATGACCAACAGTAATTCATTCCTTGGCAAGTGGAACTTCTCTAAAACACCCACCCTCATCAGATGTTCCCTTCCCTTCCCTCTCTCAAGCCCCCGGGAATTTATCCTCCAGTTAGGAATGCAGGCAGAAAAAACACTGCATTTTTCCTGAGAAGGATGTCAGATTGGCAATTATTCTTCTAGCTTGTAGGAGGTCTCACCTGCAGGAAATTAAAGGTAAAGAGACTTCGCTGAGCCCTTTGGTGGCCCTAGATCCCTTTCACTGTTGGAGTGTCTGGAGTTCAGAGATGGTGGAAGACAGGCCCTCATTCACAGAGCTGGGAGGTTTGAGCCAACACTTGCATCCAAGGCTTCCACCTCCCCAGGTTTCCAAAAGCAGAGATAAGAGGGGTCCTTTACTCACCAGATTTGGAGCTTGGTTCTGTGGGTGAAGGCCAACTACTTGAAGGGTTTCCTAGAACACGGGACAGGAGAGATGTGAGGAAATGAGGGTGCTTGTCCTCTACTCAATGGAAATCTTTGAGGTTGGTTCATGGCCAACACTCTGTTATCTAATGTTGGACCCTGGGAGTCTTGGGATCCTTTTCTCCATAATTTTTGTGTGCGATGCCCACTGTCTTGAGACTTGAAGGTATAAAGAGAAAACAGGAGCATCACACTACCTGACTTAGAAATATGTTACAGAGCTGTAGTAAGCAAAACAGCATGACATTGGCATAAAGAAAGGCACATAAAAAATGGAACAGAATGGAGAACACAGATATAATCCATGCATTTACATCCAATGGCTTTCTTTTGTGTGTGTGTGATGGAATCTTGCTCTGTCATGCAGGCTGGAGTGTAGAGGTGCAATCTCAGCTCAATGCAACCTCCACTTCCTGGATTCAAGAAATTCTCTTGCTTCAAACTCCTGAGTAGTGGTATTACAGGCACTGATCACCATGCTCAGCTAATTTTTGTATTTTTAGTAGAGACGAGGTTTCACTCTGTTGGCCAGCCTGGTCTTGAACTCCTGGCTTTAGGTGATCCACCCGCCTCGGCCTCCCAAAGTGCTGGAATTGCAGGTGTGAGCCACCATGCCCAGCCCATTTAATGGACTTTGACAAAGGTGCCGAGAACTTACAATCAAGAAAGGACAGTCTTCAATAAATGGTGTGGGGAAAACTGGATATCTACATGCAGAGGAATAAAACTGCATCTATACCTGTCACCTTACACAAAAATCAAATGAAAATGGATTAAAAACATGAGTCTAAGGCCTGAACCTATGAAACATGTAGAAGAAAATAATGGGGAAGACATTTGTCTGACGAAAGACATTTTGTTTAAAACCTTCAAAACACAAGTAATCAAAGCAAAAAATAGACCATTAGGATTACATCAAACCAAGCAACTTCTGCACCACCAAAGATAAACCAACAAAGTGAAGAGACAACCCACAAAATAGGAGCAAATATTTGCAAACTATTCATCTGAGATGGGATTAATAACTGGAAATATAAGAAGCTCAAACAACTCAATAAAACAATTTAATTAAAAAACGAGCAAAAGACATGAGGAGACATTTCTCCACAAACAAAACATAGAAATGGCGATCACGTATATGAAAAAGTGCTCAGCATCACTCATCATCACAGAAATGTAAATTACAATCGCGATGAGTTTTCATCTCATCCCATTAAAATGCCTTTTAGGCCGGTGGCTCACGCCTGTAATTCCAGCACTTTGGGAGGCGGAGGTGGGCGGATCACCTGAGGTCGGGAGACCAGCCTGACCAACATGGAGAAACTCCCTCTCTACTAAACATACAAAAATTAGCTAGGCGTGGTGGCACATGCCTGTAATCCCAGCTACTTTGGAGGCTGAGGCAGGAGAATCAGTTGAACGCGGGAGGCAGAGGTTGCAGTGAGCCGAGATCACACCCTTGCACTCCAGCCTGGGCGACTATGAGTGAAACTCCATCTCAACATAAATAAATAAATAAATAAATAAAGTAAAATGGCTTTTATCTGCAAGACAGGCAAAACAAATGCTGGCAAGATGGTAGAGAAAGGAGAACCCTGGTACCCTGTTGGTAGGAATGTAAATTAGTACAACTATTATGGAGAAAAGTATGGAAAAACTTTAAAAAACTAAAAGGAGGCTGGGCATAGTGGCTTATGCCTGTAACTTCAGCACTTTGGGAAACCGAGGCAGGCACCTCACTTGAGGTCAGGAGTTTGAGAGCAGCCTGCCCAAAATTGGGATATCCCGTCTGTGCTAAAAAATACAAGAATTAGTCAGGCATGGTGGCGTGCACCTGTAATCACAGCTATTAGGGAGGCTGAGTCAGGAGAATCGTTTGAACCTAGGAAGCAGAGGTTGCAATGAGCCAAGATCGCACCACTTTGACTCCAGCTTGGACTAAGGAGGGAAACTCTTTCTCAAAAAAGAAAAAAAAAAAAGAGAACTTTCATAGTGTCCAGCAATTTCACTACTGGGTTTATATCCAAAGGAAAGGACATCAGTGTATCGAAGTGATATCTGCACTCATATGACTGTTCCAGCACTGTTCACAGTAGCCAAGATGTGGAGTCAACCTACCTGCCTATCAGTGGGTGAATGGATAGAGAACTGTAGTACACACACACGGTGGAGACTACTCATCCATAGAAACAATAACATCCTGTCATTTGCAGCCACATGGATGGAACTGGAGGTCATTACAAAGATTCCCATTTCTCACCACATGCAGGAGATAAAAGGTGGATCTCATGAAGGTAGAGAATAGAATGGTGGATACCAGAGGCCAGGAAGGGAAGGGTGGAGGGTAACAAAAAAAAGAATATAGATGTATTTATTTATTTAGAAACAGAGTCTCTCTCTGTCTCCCAGGCTGCAGTGCAGTGGCATGATCTCGGCTCAGTGCAACCTCTGCCTCCTGGCTTTAAGTGCTTCTCCTGCCTCAGCCTCCCAAGTAGCTAGGACTACAGGTGCATGCCGGCATGCTTGGCTAATTTTTCTTGTCTGTTTAGTAAAGATGAATTTCCCGCATGTTGGCCAGGCTGATCTCGAGTCCCTGATCTTAAATGATCCACCTTTCTTGGCCTCTCAAAGCGCCAAGATTACAACCGTGAACCACCACACCCAGCATATAAAGGTATTTATGACCACTAGATTTTACTTTTAAAAATGGTAAAGTTGGTAAATTATATAGTTACATTTAACCTCAATAAATATTTTTGAAAATGAAAAGAAAAGAGTGTAGGGGTTGCTGGTGATGACATCTCTCTGTGTGGGTGAGAGGCCAGGATGGGCTTCTGGGAAATGGGTAAGGTTGAGGGGCTGAGGGAACCTCTGATCTCCCCAAACTGAGCCCAGTCTCCCCTTCTCTGGGTCTGTCCTGACCGCTTTCTCCATCTGCCTGGGTGCCTGGAGCCCTGACCATGGGCCTCCATGCAGGCCATGCAAGAGGGTTTGGAGGTGCCCTGTCTGCCATCCTGCACCCTGACCCCCCCTTCACACCCAGTCTTCGTGTTCTCTCTGCATCTGTCCATGCTTCTCCCCATCATCGGCAGGAAGCTCCTCAGCTATGGCTCTAGGATCATAAGACATGGGACAGACACGGGTTTTCCTCACCTGTGACAGAAACAAGCAGTGGGTCACTTGAGTTTGACCACACGCAGGGCAGGGCACGGAAAGAGCCGAAGCATCTGTAGGTCCCTCCGTGGGTGGCAGGGCCCAGAGGAAAGTCTGCCTGGAATGTTCTGTTGACCTTGGGCACTGCACGGAGCCTACGTTCATGGGCCTCCCCTTCCCTGGACAGATGGTAGATGTCATAGGAGCTCCAGGAGCTACAGGACAAGGTCACGTTCTCTCCTGCCTGAACCGTGGGGCCCGGCTGGGCTGAGAGAGAAGGTTTCTCATATAGACCTGGAAGGAGAAGAGGCAGTTTCCTCAGGGAGGTTCTTCCTTGTCACAGCTCCCCTCATACCTGAGCTGAGAACTCACTCCCCTGCTCTATGACCTAATGCTCTCTCTCTCTCTCACCCTCCACCCCAACTCTCTTCATGTCTATTTCCTCCTTCCGCCTTCTCTGTCTCTCTAGGTCTCTGACCTCACTTCCCCACCCCTGGGTATGCTTTCCCTTTTTGGATTGTTTTATTCTCTCTGACTCTCCTTGGATTGGTTGACTTGATCTTCCTTTTTCTATAATTCTGAGTCTCTCACTTTCTGTCTTGTTCATAACTTTCTGCATATTTCTATCTATTATCTATCTATCTATTTTGTGTCTATCTACAAATTATCTGTCATCTATATCTATGTATCATTTATCTATCAATTGTCTATCTGTCTATCCATCAATCATCTATGTATTATCTGTATCTATGTATCATCTCTCTCTCTCTCTATTACCTCTCTGTCTGCCTGTCAGTCTCTATGTATCATCTATGTATCTATATATTTATATATGTGTCTTCTATCTATCTATCTTCATCATCATCATCATCATCATCTCTATGTATCATCTATCAATCATCATCTATGTATCTATAACCTATCCATTATCTATCATCTACCTATTTATCATCTATCTATATCTATCTATCCATCTATCATCTGTCTCTCTCCATCTCCTTGTCTTTCTCTGCCTCTCAGTCTCTCTAGTTCTATTTGGAATCTCTGCAATCCATCCCCACATCTTTATCTTTCTCTGTCTTTGTGCCCCTCCCTCAGGGTTCTGATTTTGGGGCTTTTCTCTCCTCCCTTCCAGCATTCTCTCCACTCCTCTGCCCTCTTTTCTTTCTTTTTGTGTGTCTGTGAGTCTCTCAATCCCCTTCCTCTGGCTCATTCTCTGTGTGTTTATGCCTTTGCTTTTTGAAGTCCCTGATTTATCTCTGTGTCTCTCAGTGATCCTATTATATGTAGGATTATTTGGAATATGAGCCTCAGAATCTAGTCTGGGGACACCAAGTACACACAGTATTTAGGGGTTGGTGTTCTGGGGCCATGATATCCTGGGATAATTATGGCTCCACTGCATGGAAGGCAGAGGTGTCAGAATAAACATGGCATCTGTAGATGCCACAAGGCCTGAGGCCACAGGG
This sequence comes from Homo sapiens, assembly GCF_000001405.40. Classification (NCBI taxonomy): domain Eukaryota; kingdom Metazoa; phylum Chordata; class Mammalia; order Primates; family Hominidae; genus Homo; species Homo sapiens. The sequence goes on from NT_187636.1 coordinate 21,065, forward strand.
CCCAACTCAGGTCAGAAATATGGGTGTCCTTGGGTTCTCCTCGTAGAAGCACTTTGTGGAGACAAAACAGAAATGAAACTTCTAACCTGTGCCAGGTCTCTGAGCAAAGTCAGCATGGAAGGACACTTCTCTCTGGCACATGTCTGTCTGTCTGAGTGTCTCCTTTACCTCTTTCTCTCTTTTCTACTTCCCCGTATGGCCCCTGTGTCTGTCCTCTGTTATGACACCTGGTCTGTACTTATGTCTCCTGTTTCCCTGTCTCTGTTGGTACAGACCTCACCGAGTCAGTCTCTCTCCATAAGAATCTCACGCTTATCTTCCTCATGACCACCTGGGGGTTCCAAGTCCTGGATCATTCACTCTGTGTCCCAATGACAATGAGAAGAATGTCTGGACACTCTCACCTGTGATCACGATGTCCAGGGGGTCACTGGGAGCTGACAACTGATAGGGGGAGTGAGGAACAGAACCATAACATCTGTAGGTTCCTGCAAGGACAGGCATCAAGGGACCGATGGAGAAGTTGGCCTTGGAGACCCCATCATGGATCTGTCCAACGAGGCGTGAGGGGTCCTCAGAGATCCCCTCTCTGTGCAGAAAGAAGTGCTCAAACATGACATCTGACCAACATTGCAGGATGACTGTCTCTCCTGATTTCAGCAGGGGCCCTGGGTGGGCCAGGAGGGAAGGTTTTCTGTGGTTTCCTAGAAAGAGAAGTTGTGAGTTTAGAAGGCATCTCTCTTTATCATCCCATCCATGGCACCTGGAATGAGTGAGGGTTCCCCTCCCAGAGGTCTGTCTCTCTCCTCCCTCTCTGTGTCTCCGTGTCTTTTCTGTGCCCATATCCCCTGGTGCAGGTCCCTCCATTTGTCTTCCTCCCTCTTCTCTGTCCCTCTGTCTCCAGTAGCCCCTGACTCCCTTCCCACTGTGAAGAGAGCCTCATCTCTTGGGCTGTTGTATCTCTTTCCCACTAGTCTCTTTCCTGCTGTCTATGTGGGGGTGGAAGAGGACAGGCTGCATGTCCAGGCTCTCAGCAGCCTGAATCAATCTCTTTTGAACAAATTGGAGTCTCTGGCAGAGGTATCAACTCATCAGTAAGGCAGACATCAGTGTCCACACACCCTGTTCCTGATGGGGATTGGGAGCCTCTCCTGCCATGTCTGTGCCTTCTCCATGGCCCCAGCTTCCATAGGGTGGTCCCTGGTGCTGGTTCCAGGAGCATCAACCCCTTCCTATGTGGATGGAGCCTGGTGGTGGCATCAGCATCCCACCCTTGCTGATCCCACGGTAGCCAACCTTCTCCTTGTTTGGTTTCTTTAATTAATTGATTAATTAATTTATTTTTGAGACAGTCACTTTTTCACCCAGGCTGGAGTGCAGTGGTGTTGTCTTGGCTCACTGCAACCTCTGCCTCCCCGGTTCAAGTGATTCTCTTGCCTCAGCCTCCCCAGTCGTTGGATTACTCGTGCCCACCACCACACCTGGCTATCCTTGTTTGGTTTCCTAGCTTGTCCTTGACCTGGGTTCCTGTGTCGGTTTCCTGTTGCTGCTGCAGAAAATTATCACAAACATGGCAGCAGGAGAGAACACACTGACCCCTTCCACTTCTGGGGACAGAAATTGGATCCAGTTCTCCCTGTGCTGAAATCAAGGCATCTGCAGGGCTGCGTTCCCTCTGGAGACTCAGCGAATCAGTTCTCTTGACTTCTCCAGCCCTTAGAGGCCACCTGCATTCTGTGACTAGTGGCCTTCCTCCACCTTCAAAGCCCACAGTGGCTGATAGCGTCTCCCTCCCACTACACTGCTCTAATCCCCACTCCCCTCTTCCTCCACCTCTCACGCGGACCCTTGTGATTACACTGAGCCCAGCAGGACAGTCCAGGCTGTCTCCCCATCTCAAGGTCAACTCATCAACAACCTGAGCTCCACCTTCCCCTTCAGTCCCCTGCCCTATAACATAAATAGTCACAGGCTCCAGGGTTTACAATGTAGCCATCATTGGCGACAGTTATTCTTCCCACCACAGCGCCCATTTCCCCTGTATTCAATCCCCCTTGACCCCAAATACAGTTGGGGCCTGGGTGATGGGACCCTGATGGACACCCCCACCAGAAGCTCTGGGATTCAGGAGGTGGGACAGTGAGAAGCCCAGACAGAAAGCCTCTGACCTGTGACCATGATCACCAGGGGGTTGCTGGGTGTCGACCACCCAGTGAGGGAGTGTGGGCGTGAACCCCGACATCTGTAGGTCCCTGCATGTGCTGGGGTCACAGGGCCCATGATGAAGCTCTCCTGGAATATTCTGCCGTGGAAGATGGGAACGTGGCTTCTGTCTTCTTTGTACAGCATGAAATTGTTAAACCCACGACGATAGTGACACTGAAGAGCCACGTGTCCTCCTCGAGGCACCACAGTGCTGGGCCGGGCAGACAGGAAGGGTTTGTCCTGACCACCTGGGGGAGAAGGAGGCACTGCCTTAGAGAGGAGGATGTGGAGCCACCCCTCCCTCCCTGTGCTCAGAAGATTCTCCCATTTCCACTTTCTAAGGCTCCTACCACACCTGGGTGCCCAGGGCTACAGGAAGGACCCACCCCACATAGACATGGCGTCTCCCTACAACAAGTGTCAGCTGAGAACTTTGAGCAAGTGCTGAATAAGTGACTCTTACTAGATTTTAATACTGCAAAATTACTCACATAAAACAACACAAAGTAGACACGGCATGGAGGGCATGTCCTATGTGAATGGAATATCAGCCAATTCATGAACTGAGCCCCCTCAGAGGATTTGGAATGTCAGGGCCATGGCTGTGGTTTCCCCCCTCTTCTGGTAGAAAGACCGCAGCCACACTGCAGTCCCTACCGTCACGGAAACGCTGGAGGGTGTCAGTTATACCTTTGTCCTCAGAGGACCTGCTGTTCCTAGCACTGCTTCCCTCTCTTTCTCTGCTGCTGACACCACTTCCTCCCTGCACACCCCAGCTTGGAGCACCCCAGTCTCACCCCAGTCTTCACAGAGCTTGACTCAGGAAAGGGAAAGAAAGGCCGGGGAGGGCGAGGTCAGAAATGTGGGCCGAGTATCCAAGGGTCCCCTCTTCCTAGTTTATGAGAGACTCCCCGACAGGACTTCCCTCCTGTTTCAGAAAAATCCTCTTATGTGGGGAGATGACACCCTAAGGTTTGGGGAAGGACTCACCCATGAGTGGCCAGGCCCCCTGCAGCAAGAAGAACCCTGGAAAGAAAGATCATGATAGACGATCCAACTGCAGGCAAACCAGGGCACCCTGCTGCCCCCACTGCACTGTGTGTCTTGGCAGCCAGGCCCTTGCTGGGCTGAAGGTAAACTTAGCCTCCCTGCTACCTGCTGCCAAGAACAGGGCTCTCAGCTGTGGAGAGACCCAGGCTCCAGGCCCAGATCAACACTTCCTGGCCCAGATCTCCACTCCAGGCCCATATCTCCACTCCAGGCCCCTATCTCCACTCCAGGCCCATATCTCCACATCAGACCCATATCTCCACTCCAGGCCCATATCTCCACATCAGACCCATATCTCCACTCCAGGCCCAGATCTCCCCTCTAGGCCCATATCTCCACTCCAGGCCCATATCTCCACTCCAGGCCCATATCTCCACATCAGACCCATATCTCCACTCCAGGCCCATATCTCCACTCCAGGCCCAGATCTCCACCTGCAGGCCCATATCTCCACTCCAGGCCCATATCTCCACTCCAGGCCCGTATCTCCACTCCAGGCCCATATCTCCACACCCAGGCCCATATCTCCCCTCCAGGCCCATATCTCCACTCCAGGCCCATATTTACACCTCCAGGCCCATATCTCCACACCCAGGCCCATATCTCCACTCCAGGCCCATATCTCCACTCCAGGCCCATATCTTTACCTCTAGGCCGAGATCTCCATCCCCACTCTCCCTCCCTCTATTCCCTTCCAGGACTCACCAACGCACGCCATGCTGACGACAGTGAGCGACATGGTGCTGCCGGTGCAGACAGGAGGCCGCGCCCCAGCTCAGCTCAGCAGCGCACAGGATGTTATTTGGCGCCCTGCCCATGCAGTTTACATGTTGACCACATCATGGGAGGGTGACGTACGCAGGCTCTTTCTACCTTGCATGAGGCCCAGTGGGTGCTCGCTCAAGAGCGGAACATGGCTTCCTGGAAATTGTTGTGACTACAATTGCCACCTTGCATCCTTCACTATGACCAGACTCAAAAGACGTCTCAGATCCAACCTCTCACACATGAGGTGATTGAATTCTGTGCTTACATTAAAGACTTTTGATGTATTTTTGTTTTTATCTGAGATTCAAACTTTTCTTCATGTGTAATGTGCAAAATATCTAAGAGGTATTATTAACATTATCAGAGTAATTGTGACAAAAAGCCATTCTAATTTTCCTGATGAGTTTCTAGTACTAAACCTGAGGCACGAGAATTGCTTGAACCTGGGAGGCGGAGGCTGCAGTGAGCTGAGCTCAAGCCACTGAACTCCAGCTTGGGTGACAGAGGAAGAGTCTGTCTCAAGAAAGAAAAAAAAAAGCAAACTAAATAACCTATAATAACAAATCAGAGAACTCAGGTTACCAAATTTTAAGGGGTTCTATAAGTTTATATGAAATGCAGCATCCTCATGAGAGGGGATACAGAGAACCACTGGGCAGAAAACTGTGTCTAAAATACATCTGTGGATACACAGTCCCTTCATAGTTGACAAAGGCTGCCATGTAGTTTAAGGTGGAATAGAATATTTTCTCAATAAATAACACAGGACCATAGGGTTACACGTAGGAAAAAATAAATCTAAACTTATCCTCACACTATAAAAACACTTCTTATTTTTTATCTTGTTGTTGTAAACTTTTTATGCTTTATTTTTAAGATTGACAAATAAAAATTATATACTGTGGTCCTTCACTATTCCTGGGTGATTGGTTCCAGGATCCCCATTCAGATACCAAAATCTGCAGATGCTCAAGCCCCTTGCATGAAATGGCATAGCGAAGCTGGGCACCGTGGCTCACGCCTGTAATCCCAGCACTTTGGGAGGCTGAGTTGGGTAGATCACGAGGTCAGGAGTTCAAGACCAGCTGGTCCAACATTCTGAAACCCCATCTCTACTAAAAATACACACACAAAAAAATTTATCTGTGCATGGTGGCACGTGCCTGTAATCCTAGGGGAGGCTACTGGGGAGGCTGAGGGAAGACAATCGCTTGAACCTGGGAGGCGGAGGTTGCAGTGAGCTGAGATCATGCCACTGCACTCCAGCCTGGGTGAGAGAGTGAGACTGTCTCAAAAAAAAAAAATAGCATAGTAATTGCATAGAACCCATGCACATCCTCCTGTATACATGAAATCATCTCTTGATTACTTATAATTCCTGACACAGCCTACACGCCACTCAATTTGTGTCGATTCAACATAGTTTTTTGCTTCTTGAAACTTCGGGGATTTTTTTCTGAAAACATTTTTGATTTATTGTTGGTTCAATAAACACCTGTAAACCCCACAGATATGGAGGACCGACTGTATATTTATATTATGAAAGATGATATGTTGATATGTGTCCCCGTGGAGATGAGGCTAACAAGGCCTATGACTCTACAAATGTTTCATCGTGGAATGACTCTGCCAGCTTTCCAGGTCTGCAGAGAGTAAGAATATCACTTGTTCATGTGATTCACGATCCTTGGAGCCTCCTATGTGCTGTATCTTTGGATGGAAATTGGAGTCTCAGAGACAAATCAGGCTCCATTCTGCTTCCAGAAGCTCAGAGTCCAGGGCTGAGAACCCAATGGAGAACAGATGGGGTTATGTGGACATGGTAATGATAACACCGGAAGCCTTAGGCAAGAAAAGAGTCTCGTTACCGAAACCATGAGGGCAGACATGTTTATTTGAAGGCGGGAAAACTACATTGAAATTATTTAAAAAATTTATAAGTTTTACTGCTGGCAGAAGGCTGAAAGATAGTCTGAAGGGAGGTGGAACAGCACGTGTCTAAGTGCTGTGTTAAGAGGCAGCCTCTTGTATGTTTGGAATTGTGAGTTCCTCAGTGTGATTGCAGCCTCAGGTAGACTAGGAAGTAAGCCAGTTAGGTTGGAGAGGTGGGCAGGGGTCAAGTGAAATGGAGAATTGTGGGCTAAGCAAAGGAGTGTGTTTTCTCTCCAGCAGGCAGTGGGGACCTTAGACATTTGTAAGCAAGAGAGAGGCATGTTCAGATTCGTGGTGTGAGGAAGAGCGATGCCCTAAGATGAAGACTGATGCCTTCAGATTCCAGCTGCTGGTACATGGGAGCTGGCAACCCGGTTTTGAGACAGGGCTGTTGTCTCCCTAGAAGATCCCCTCAAGGCCTGACTGTGGTGCTCGTGGACAGAAGACAACTTTGGATCTGGGCTCAGCATTTGGAAGTTCTATGTACATGCTGGTATCTGTTGGGGGTGTCTTGGGCCTCTCAGAAGGGCGAGTGATTTTTCTCTGTGTGAAAACACAGTGATCCAATTATGCGTATGACACCTCCTGATGGTCTTGTTCATCAGAATCCTGGAGAGAGGGAAATGCTGAGTGAGGGAGGGTGCTCACATTTTTCAGGACTCTTTGGGAATAAGACTAGCCACGAGGCTGGGCCGAGGAGCACCTACCTCGCTGTTCACTGTTCTGTTCCCTGCAGGCTCTTGGTCCATTACAGCAGCATCTGTAGAAGACGGAAGTCAACAAAAGAGCTCGGAGGGCACTTCTGGGTCCTCATTTCATAAGCAGATACCAACAAACAGGGGGAGGCCATAGGTGCCTGAGGTCCCTCAGTTGCCAACAGCAGACTCAGACATTCTATCTCTCTGAGTTCAAGGACCCATCCCATGAATAGCTCTGAGGTCCCATCCCATTGATTCTATCTCCCACTTTCTGCCTGTCATGGAACCTTCTCCTGGATGTGAGTGGCTGCAGGGGACGTGAGGATACAGTTCAGAATCAGGCAATGGTCTGTGAGCTGAAGGCAGGGGAAGGGAATCTGGTGCTCTCTCTAGAAAGTCCTGCCTCTGTGGCTCCTGTCTTGGGCCAGGGACCATCCTGCTGGTGAGGAACACACATCCGCGTGCTCCCATCCTGCTTCCCCACATGGCCCTGAGCTCTCTGGCCTCTGCTTCGTGAGACTTACTTTTTTTGTCGGAGCACCAGCGATGAAGGAGAAAGAAGAGGAGGATGGTGAAAGGGATTTTGACCACTGAGGTCCCAATCAGAACATGTAGGTGTCTGGGGTTACCTGGAAGAAGAGGAGACACCAATAAGAAGCTAATCATAGCAGTTCCTCTTTATGAATTGTCTCGCATTTCTTGATTGGCAGGTAACCACATACAACGTCTCTTTAGGACAAGCACCCAAATGGCGGGAGACCTAGCTTTCCCCTGCTTTCTCAATTATAGCTCTCATAGTAACCATAGAACGTGCTGAGGATACAACTACTTTAGTTGAGATGTTTGACCCTTTCAAACCTCACATTGAAATTTCACCCCCATTGTGGGAGGTTGGGCCTCTTCAGAGGTGTTTGGGTCATGGAGGTGGATCCATCATGAACAGACCAATGCTGTCCCAAGGAGACGGGGTTAGCAAGTTCCCCCTCTGTTAGTTCCTGGAGAGCTGGTTGTTAAAAAGAGCTTGGAAGCTCCATCGCTCCCTCTCCCCCTTACTCTCTCTCTTGCCGTGTGATCTCTGCGGTCTCTGCACAGACAGACCCTCCTTCCCTTCTGCCAGAGTGGGAGCAGCCTGAGGCCATCACGAGAAATAGATTCTGGTGCCATGCTTCCAGTACAGCCTGCAGAACTGTGAGGCAAACCAATCTCTTTTCTTTAGAAGTTACCCAGGCTCAAGTGTTCCTTTAGAGCAACAAAAATGGACTAAGATAGCAACATCCTGAGATCAGGAGGAATGTCTCAGAACAGCCTGGGCTGTCTTCCTGTTCTTCCTGGAGGAGGACGTCATGCAGTGCTTTAGCTGAGTGCTTCCTGTGGCTCCAGGGTACAAAACCCAGGCTGGGCTGCTTTCTGGCTTCCCCCAGTTACACTGCAAATGGGGTGACTCCATATGTCCCGAGCAGCTTTTCTGAGCCTTGAGGGACTGGCTCACATTGAAATGCAGGCTTCTGTTGTCACTCACTGCTTATCTGTTAGTAATGAACCTGCCTATGTAACGTATTCTCTGTGTGTTCTGTCTCCCTGGAGTGACGGTGAGTGATAGGAATTGGCATAGGCCCAGGTGCAGTCCAGGATTTGTTTAGAGTCTTCTCTGGGAAGACTGCACTGGGATTGATACACAGCGAATGTGCTTTAGGATTTCTACATCCACAGCATTCTTGAGTCAAACAAATTGCATTCACCAAGGAAAGGAAACAAAGGTGAAATCACGATTAAAAATAGCGAAGCAAGATTCTCTTATGTCAAACAGCCAGAAAATAGTGTTGAAGCCCGTGTGAAATGTGCTGCTCTTTGTGATCTCGGGAGACACATGTTAGGCTGCTGTTCTACCCGAGAGGCTGGGGGAAGGACCACCCCCTCCACCATCTATTGCTTCAATACCACCTGTCCTCCTGTGAATTAGTAGGAAAGGGGAACAGGAGCTAGTGCTGTCGCTGATCTCTGATTCCAAGATCTGGACTCACTCCAAGGAGTATTAATGTTTCCTCCCCATGGTCTATCTGAATCTCCACAGGTGATTGGAAGTAGGGGTGAGGTGGGGGATTTGGGTGAGTGGGCAAGTTTTTTTTTGCGATGAACAGAGCACTTTCTCTATTCCAGGATCCGTGCTGGAGGATTCAGTGGGCTTTCACATTTTCTATGTGATCTCATGCTCACAGAAAGCCAAATAGGGAAGAGGTTTTAGGCTCATTGCCTAATGGATAAGATAAAGGATCAAAGAAGTAATTATAGAGAAATAGAAAAATGATGATTGGAATTCAGGTGCCTTTGTCATTCGTGTGTGTTTTATTATATTTATGCATTTCTTATTTTTATTTTTTGAGACGGAGTCTCCTTGTGTCACCCAGGCTGGAGTGCAGTGATGCAATCTCCACTCACTGCAACCTCCACCTCCTGGGTTGAAGTCATTCTCCTGCTTCATCCTCCAGAGTAGGAGCTGGGATTACAGGGATGCACCACCATGCTCGGCTAATTTTTGTATTTTTAGTACAGATAGGGTTTCACCATGTTGGCCAGGCTGGTCTGGAACTCCTGACTTCATGGAATCCACCCGCCTTGGCCTCCTGCAGTGCTGGGTTACAAGCGTGAGCCACCGTTCACAGACTTGTATATTACGCTATAATAGGTCTCTTCATTTCCACCACCCCTCATATATCTGTCACTCCTTTGCCAGGTATTGATTTATGTGTAGGATGAATAAATCTCAGAAAGAAATTAATTAAGCGAGGATTAAACAAGTAGGAAAATCAAACCCAGCAAGCCTTTCCAGCCAATGATTCTACCTCACAAGCATAGCTTATATCCATCTGCTTCATCCACTTAGTGTCAAAATCAGCACCACATTTCACCAGTGGGTCGGGAATTGCCTTTTCCACGGTCTCCTAGATTCCAGTTACGCCCCTGGGCCTCCTTTATTTTCATGTCAGTCATATTAATCATGTAGGGATTCCTGGTTACCCCGAGGTGAATCCAATGGCTGTGAGTGTCAAACACACACTCCTTGTTGCTCCTTAGTTTCCTGTGTACCCAGTGTGCTCTCCGTCTCTCCACAGTCGTCTTGTCATTCTCCCCACCTCATTCCCAGCATTTGAGGAAGAGCCTCTTCCTTCCACATCAGATTGTTTTCACCTTTGTGCCTTCACGGCTGACAGCTGTGTGTGCAAAATCCTTCCGCCAATCTTTCAGGGGTTCAATCCGTGTTTTTCATTAATGTCACAAATATCTGAATAGTGAGACCTTCTTTGTCACCTGAAATCATACACTCAGCATTATCTATTATTGATTTTGAATTCTGGCTGGGCACAGTGGCTCACGCCTGTAGTCCCATTACTTTGGCATGCTGAGACGGTCGGATCACTTGAGGTTGGGAGTTTCAGACAAGCTTGGCCAACGTGGTGAAACATCCTCTCTACAAAAAATATACAAAAAGAATTAGCCGGGCACGGTGGCAGTTGCCTGTAATCCCAGCTACTCGAGAGGCGGAGGCAGGAGAATCACTTGAATCCAGGAGAAGCAGGTTGCAGTGAGCCAAGATCGTGACACTGCACTGTAGCCTGGAAGACAGAGGGCAACTCTGTCTCAATAAACAAAAGAACAAACAAAAAATAGATTTCATGCACAGATGCTTCCCAATGGATCATTCATTTATAGATCCACTTGTGCATTCATTTTCTGCCCTCCCATTTAACCATCTGCAATATCAGTGTCCCAAGGGCAGAGGCCAAATGCATCTTGTTCACTGTTTGTGGAAGGCAGGAGAATGCTGTCCCACCCCAAAATGTCCCTGTCCTAGCCTCCATAGCTTGTGAATATGTTATTTTACATGGAAAGGAGGAATGAAGATTGCAGATGGAATTATGGTTACTAATCAGCTGAACTTAAAACAAGGGTATCCTGGATGATTTCCAGGAGATTATGAGGGATTTTCATCTTGGTGAACCCAATAGAATCCCCAAGTTTTCAAAAGATGAGGAAGAAGGGAGAGCAGCATTCAGAGAAAGAAGTGTGGTAAGGAAGAAGGCACTGAGTGATGCCATGTGAGATGTGACCAGTCTTTGTGGGCTTTGAGGAAGGAGGAAGGGGACCAGGAGCCAAGGAACTGGGAGCCTTTAGAAGCTGGGACAAGTGAGAAGCAGATTCGTGCCTGGAATCCTCAGAGGGAAGGCAGCCTTGCTGTCACCTTGATTTTAGCCCAGTAAGATGCACTTCCTACTTTGAGCTACAGCACTGTAAGATAATTAAAAAACCGTTTTGTTTTCACCCACGAATCTTGTGGAAATTTGTTATGGCAACAATAGGAAAAGGTTCCGCACTGCACAGCCTGAGCATGGGGCCGTGGCTGAATGAGTCAGTGAGTCGAAGTGTGTGTGCATGAGCTCTGTTCTCTGTTACGGCAAGGCTCTTGCTCTGCTGAGTCAGCCAGGGTTGCTTCATGACCTACAGGAGCTCATTCCTTGGCAAGTGGAACTTCTCTAAAACACCTCGCCCTCATCAGATGTTCCCTTCCCTTCCCTCTCTCAAGTCTCCAGGAATTTATCCTCCAGTTAGGAATGCAGGCAGAACAAACATTGCATTTTTCCTGAGAAGGATGTCAGATTGGCAATCATTCTTCTAGCTTGTAGGAGGTCTCAGCTCCATAAAATGAGAGATGAAGAGATTTCACTGAGCCCTGTGTTGGGCCCAGATCCCTTTCGCTGTAGGAGTATCTGGAGTTCGGAGATGGTGGAAGACAGGTGTACAATGTCAGAGCTGTGAGATGCTGAGTCAACGCCTGAATCCAAGGTTTCCACCTCCCCAGGTTTCCAAAAGCGGATATAAGAGGGTTCTGTACTCACCGGTTTCGGAGCTTGGTTCAGTGGGTGAAGGCCAACTATTTGAAGGGTTTCCTAGAACATGAGACAGGAGAGAGGTGAGGAAATGAGGGTTTCTGTCCTCCACTCAGTGGAAATCTTTGAGGATGGTTCATGGCCAACACTCTGTTATCTAATATTGGGCCCTGGGAGTCCTGGGATCCTTTTTTCCATAATTTTTTTATGTGACACCCACTGTCTTGAGACTTCAAGGTATAAAGAGAAAACAGGAGCATCACACTACCTGATCTCAAAATATGTTACAGAGCTGTAGTAAGCAAAATAGCATGACACTGGCATAAAGAAAGGCACATAGAACAACGGAGCAGAATGAATAACACAGATATATTCCATGCATTTACATCCAATGGTTTTTTATTTTTTCTTTTGAGATGGAGTCTTGCTCTGTCACTCAGGCTGGAGTGCAAAGGTGCAATCTCGGTTCACTGCAACCTCAGCCTCCTGGGTTCAATCATTCTCTTGCCTCAAACTCCTGAGTAGTGGTATTACAGGTGCTGACCACCATGCTCAGCTAATTTTTATATTTTTAGTGGAGATGATGTTTCATCACGTCGGCCAGACTAATCTTGAACTCCTGGCCTCAGGTGATCCACCCACCTCGGGCTCCCAAAGTGCTGAAATTGCAGGTGTTAGCCACCAAGCCCAGCCCATCCAATGGACTTTGACAAAGATGCCAAGAACTCACAATCAGGAAAGGACAGTCTTTTCAATAAACAGTGCAGGGAAACCTGGACATCTACATGCAGAGGAATGAAACTGCACCTCTACCTGTCACCATACACAAAAATCAAATGAAAATGGATTAAAGATGTGAGTCTAAGGCCTGAACCTATGAAACACGTAGAACAAAATATTGGGGAAATGCTCCAGGACATTTGTCTGAAGAAAGACATTTTGTTTTAAACCTTGAAAACACAAGTAATCGAAGCAAAAATAGACCATTGGGATTACCTCATACTAAGCAACTTCTGCACCGCTAAAAATAAACCAACAAAGTGAAGAGACAACCCACAGATTGGGAGCAAATATGTGCAAACTATGCATCTGAGATGGGATTAATAACTAGAAATATAAGAAGCTCAAACAACTCAATAAAACAAATGATTTAATTGAAAAAGGAGCAAAAGACATGAAATTTCCCCACATACGAAAAACTGCTCAGTATCACTCATCATCAGAGAAACGCAAATTAAATTCAAAGTGAGTTTTCATCTCACCCCATTAAAATGGCTTTTAGGCCGGGTGAGGTGGCTCACGTTTGTCATCCTAGAACTTTGAGAGCCTGAGGTGGGTGAATCTCATAAGGTCGGGAGTTTGAGACCAGTATGACCCACATAGAGAAACACTGTCTCTACTAAAAATACAAAAATTAGTCGGGCGTGGTGGCGTGTGCCTGTAATTCCAGCTACTCGGGAGGCTGAGGCAGGAGAATCGCTTGAACCTGGGAGGTGGAGGTTGTGGTGAGCCGAGATCGCGCCACTGCACTCCAGCCTGGGTGAGAAGAGCAAAACTCCATCTCAAAATAAAATGAAATAAAATAAAATGGCTTTTAGCTGCAAGACAGGCAAAAGAAATGCTGGCAAGGTGGTAGAGAAAGGAGAACCCTGGTACCCTGTTGGGAGGAGTGTAAATTAGTACAGCCATTACGGAGAAAAGTATGGAAGTCCTTTAAAGAACTAAAAAGAGGTTGGGTGCGGTGGATCATGCCTGTAATCCCGGCACTTTGGGAGACTGAGGCGGGCACCTCAGTTGAGGTCATGAGTTTGAGAGCAGCCCAGCCAACATGGGGAAACCCCATCTATACTAAAAAAACCAAAAAGTAGCCAGGCATGGTGGTGTGCACCTGTAATCCCAGCTACTAGGGAGGCTGAGGCAGGAAAATCATTTGAACCCAGGAGGCGTAGGTTGCAATGAGCCAAGGTCGCACCACTTTGACTCCAGCTTGGGCTAAGGAGGGAAACTCTTTCTCAAAAAAGAAAAAAAGAAAAAAAGAGAACTTTCATAGTATCCAGCAATTTCACTACTGGGTTTATATCCAAAGGAAAGTAAATCAATATATCGAAGTGATATCTGCACTCGTATGATTGGTGCAGCACTGTTCACAGTAGCCAAGATGAGGAGTCAACCTACCTGCCCATCAGTGGGTAAATGGATAGAGAGAATGTAGTACATACGCATAGTGGAGACTACTCATCCATAGAAAGAATAACATCCTGTCATTTGCAGCCACATGGATGGAACTGGAGGTCATTACAAAGATTCCCATTTCTCACCCATATACAGGAGCTAAAAGGTGGATCTCATGAAGGTAGAGAGTAGAATGGTGGCTACTGGAGGACAGGAAGAAAAGGGTGGAGGGTAAAAAAAATGTATATATATATATATGTATATAAATGTATTTATGACCACTAGACTTTACACTTAAAAATGGTAAATGTGGCTGGGCGCGGTGGCCCATGCCTGTAATCCCAGCACTTTGGGAGGCAGATGCGGGTGGATCACTTGGTCAGGAGTTCGAGACCAGCTCGACCAACATGGTGAAACCACCTCCCTACTAAAAATACAAAAAGTAGCCTGGCGTGGTGGTGCGTGCCTGTAGCACCAGCTACTCAGGTGGCTGAGGCAGGAGAATCGCTTGAACCCAGGAGGTGGAGGTTGCAGTGAGCTGAGATTGTGCCACTGCACTCCAGCATAGGGGACACAGCTAGACTCCACCTCAAAAAAAAATGTTAAAAGTGGTAAGCTATATAGGTATATTTATCCTCAATAAATATTTCTTCAAAGAAAAGTAAAGGGTGTAGGGGTTGCTGGTGATGACATCTCTGTGTGGGTGAGAGGCCAGGATGGGCTTCTGGGAAATGGGTAAGGTTGAGGGGCTGAGGGAACCTCTGATCTCCCCAAACTGAGCCCAGTCTCCCTCCTCTGGGTCTCTCCTGACCGCTTTCTCCATCTGCCTGGGTGCCTGGAGCCCTGGCCGTGGGCCTCCATGCAGGCCATGTAGGAGGGTTTGGAGGTGCCCTGTCGGCCATCCTGTGCCCTGATCCCTCCCTCACACCGAGGCTGCGTCTTCTCTCTGCATCTGTCCATGCTTCTCTCCATCATCAGCAGGAAGCTCCTCAGCTAAGGCTCTAGGATCATAGGACATGGGACAGCCATGGGCTTTCCTCACCTGTGACAGAAACAAGCAGTGGGTCACTTGACTTTGACCACTCGTATGGAGAGTCACGGAAAGAGCCGAAGCATCTGTAGGTCCCTCCATGGGTGGCAGGGCCCAGAGGAAAGTTGGCCTGGAATGTTCCGTTGACCTTGGTCCCTGCAGGGAGCCTACGTTCATGGGCCTCCCCTTCCCTGGATAGATGGTACATGTCATAGGAGCTCCGGGAGCTGCAGGACAAGGTCACATTCTCTCCTGCCAGAACCGTGGGGCCCGGCTGGGCTGAGAGAGAAGGTTTCTCATATAGACCTGGAAGGAGAAGAGGCAGTTTCCTCAGGGAGGATCTTCCTTGTCACAGCTCCCTTCACCTGAGCTGAGAACTCACTCCCCTGCTCTATGACCTAATGCTCTCTCTCTCTCTCTCTCACCCTCTACCCCATCGCTCTTCATGTCTATTTCCTCCTTCCACCTTCTCTGTCTCTTTAGGTCTCTGACCTCACTTCCCCACCTCTAGATATGTTTTCTCTTTTTGGATTGTTTTATTCTCTCTGACTCTCCTTGGATTGGTTGACTTGATGTTACTTTTTTTAATTCTGAGTTTCTCACTTTGTGTCCTGTTCATAACTTTCTGCATATTTCTATCTATTATCTATCGATCTATCTATTTATCTATTCGGTGCCTATCTACAAATTCTCTACCTGTCATCTATATCTATATATCATCTATTTATCCATCAATTGTCTATCTATCCATCAATCATCTATTATCTATATCTATGTATCATCTCTCTCTCTCTATGATTTCTCTATGTCTGCCTCTGTATCTCTATGTATTATCTAT
This sequence comes from Homo sapiens, assembly GCF_000001405.40. Taxonomy (NCBI): domain Eukaryota; kingdom Metazoa; phylum Chordata; class Mammalia; order Primates; family Hominidae; genus Homo; species Homo sapiens. The sequence continues at coordinate 36,641 of NT_187636.1, forward strand.
CTATCTGTCTTCATCATCATCATCTCTATGTCTCATCTATTAATGAATCAATCAATCATCATCTATGTATCTATAACCTATTATCTATCATCTACCTATTTATCATCTATCTATATCTATCCATCTATCATCTGTCTTGCTCTGCCTCTCGGTCTCTCTAGTTCTCTTTGGAATCTCTGCAATTCATCCCCACATCTCCATCTTTCAATGTCCTTGTGCCTCTCCCTCAGGAGTCTAATTTTAGTGCTTTTCTCTGCTCCCTTCCATCATTCTCACTTCTCTGCCCTCTTTTCTCTTTATGTGTCTGTGAGTCTCTCAATCTCCTTCCTCTGGCTCATTCTCTGTGTGTTTATGTCTTTGCTTTTTGGTGTCCCTGATTTCTCTCTGTGCCTCTCACTGATCCTCTCATAAGTGGGCTTATTTGGAATATGAGCCTCAGAATCCAGTCTGGAGACTACAAGTTCACACAGCATACAGGGGTTGGTGTTGTGGGGCCATGATATCCTGGGACGATTACTCTCCATTACATGGAAGGCAGAGGTGTCAGAATAAACATGGCATCTGTAGGTGCCACAAGGCCTGAGGCCACAGGGCCCAACTCAGGTCAGAAATATGGGTGTCCTTGGGTTCTCCTGGTAGAGAACACTTTGTGGAGGTAAAACAGAAATGAAACTTCTAACCTGTGCCAGGTCTCTGAGCAAAGTCAGCATGGAGGGACACCTCTCTCTGGGACATGTCTGTCTGTGTGTTTCCTTTAACTCTTTCTGTCTTTTCAAACTCCCGGTATGGCCCCTGTGTCTGTTCTCTGTTATGACACCTGGTCTCTACTTGTGTCTCCTGTTTCTCTGTCTCTGTTGGCACAGACCTCACCAAGTCAGTCTCTCTCCATAAGAATACCAAGCTCATCTTCCTTACAGCCACCTGGGCCTCCAAGTCCTGGATCATTCACTCTGCATCCCAATGACAATGAGAAGAAAGTCTGGACACTCTCACCTATGATCACGATGTCCAGAGGGTCACTGGGAGCTGACAACTGATAGGGGGAGTGAGTAACAGAACCGTAGCATCTGTAGGTCCCTGCCAGGTCTTGCTTCATGCGACTGATGGAGAAGTTGGCCTTGGAGACCCCATCATGGTGTTCTCCAATGAGGCGCAAAGTGTCGTTAAACATCCCCTCTCTGTGCAGAAGGAAGTGTTCAAACATGACATCTGACCAACATTGCAGGATGACTGTCTCTTCTGATTTCACCAGGCGACCTGGGTGGGCCAGGAGGGAAGGTTTTCTGTGGACTCCTAGGAAGAGAGGTTGTGAGTTTAGAAGGTGTCTCTCTTTATCATCCCATCCATGGCACCTGGATTGAGTCAGGCTTCCCCTTCCTGGTGTCTTATCTCTCTCCTTCCTCTCTGTGTCTTCATGTTCTTTTCTGTGCCCATAACTCCTGGTGCAGGTCCTTCCATCTGTCTCCCTCACTCTTCTCTGTCCCTCTGTCTCTAGTAGCCTCTGATTCCCTTGCCGCTGGGCTCAGCCTCATCTCTTGGGCTGTTGTATCTATTTCGAACTAATGTCTTTCCTGCTGTCTGTGTGGGGGTGGAAGAGGAACCAGGATAGGCTGCACATCCAGGCTCTTAGCAGCCTGGTTCAATCTCTTTTGGACGAATTGGAATCCTTGGCAGGAGGTATGAACTGATCAGTAAGGCAGGCACCAGTGGCCACACACCCTGTTCCTGGTAGGGACTGGGAGACACTCTTGCCATGCCAGTGCCAGCTTCCATAGCCTGGCTCCTGGTGCTGGTTGGAGGAGTATCAACCGCTCCCTATGTGGATGGAGCCTGGTGGTGGCATCATCATCCGAGCCTTGCTGATCTCAGTGTAGCCAACCTTCTCCTTGTTTGGTTTCTTTAATTAATTAATTAATTTTGGCGACAGAGTCTCACTCCTTTGCCCAGGCTGGAGTGAAGTGGTGTGGTCTAGGCTTACTGCAACCTCTGTCTCCTGGGTTCAAGTGATTCTCCTGCCCTCAGCCTCCCAAGTCGCTAGGATTACATGCACCTGCCACCATGCCTGGCTATCCTTGTGTTGTTTCTTAACTTGTCCTTGACCTGGGTTCCAGTGTTGGTTTCCTGTTGCTGCTGTAGAAAATTATCAGAAGCATGGCAGCAGGAGAGAGCACACTAACCCCTTCCAATTCTGGAGACAGAAATCGGACCCTGTTTGTCGTGGGTAAAATCAAGGTACCTGCAGGGCTTCGTTCCCTCTGGAGACTCAGGAGAATCAGTTCCTTGACTTTTCCAGCCTCTATAGGCCACCTGCATTCATGGCTCCTGGACTTCCTCCACCTTCAAAGCTGATGGAGACTCCCATTATGCTGCTGTAATCCCCACTCCCCTCTTCCTCCTCCTTTCCTGTGGACCCCTGTGACTACACTGAGCCCATCAGGACAGTCCAGGTTGTCTCCCCATCTCAAGGTCAACTCATCAACAACCTGAGCTCCATCTTCTCCTTCAGTCCCTTCCCCTATATCATAAATAGTCACAGACTCCAGGGATTAGAATGTAGTCATCACTGGGGACAATTATTCTTCCCACCACAGCACCCATTTCCCTGTATTCAATCCCCCTTTACCCCAAATACAGTCAGGACTTGCATGATGGGACCCGCAAGGACACGCCCACCAGGAGCTCTGGGATTCAGGAGGTGGGACAAGGAGAATCCCAGACAGGAGCCCTCTGACCTGTGACCGTGATCTCCAGGGGGTTGCTGGGTGCCGACCACCCACTGGGGTAGTGTGGTTGTGAACCCCGACATGTATAGGTCCCTGCGTGTGCTGGGGTCACAGGGCCCATGAAAAGGCTGTTCCAGAATATTATGTTGTAGAGCTCAGGGACAGGCACCCCATCTTCCTTTTACAGACTGAAGTTGTTAAACCCAAGATAAGAATGACACTGAAGAATCACATATCCTGGAGGCACCACAGGGCTTGGCCAGGCAGACAGCAAGGGCTTGTCCTGACCACCGTGGGGAGAAGGAGGCACCGCCTTAGAGAGGAGGATGTGGAGCCGCCCCTCCCTCCCTGTGCTCTGAAGATTCTCCTCGCTTTCCAAGTTTCTATGGCTGCTATCACACCTTGGTGCCCAGGGCTAAAGGAAGAACCCATCCCGCAAACACAAGGTGTCTCCCTACAACAAAAGTGTCAGCTGAGAACTTTGAGCAAGTGCTGAGTAAGAGACTCCTACTAGATTTTAATACTGTAAGATTACTCACATAAAACAACACAGGGTAGACATGGGGTGGAGGGCATGTCCTTTGAGAATGGAATATCAGCCGATGCCTGAACGAAAATAAACAACTGAGTCCCCATCAGAGGATTGGAATGTCAGGGCCATGGCTGTGGTTTTCCCACCTCTTCTGGTAGAATGACAGCAGCCACACTGCAGCCCCTACCGTCATGGAAACGCTGAAGTGTGTGAGTAACACCTTTGTCCTCAGAGGATCTGCTGTTCCTACCACTTCCCCACCACACACCCCAGCTTTGAGCACCGTAGTCTAACCCTGGTCCCCACAGAACTTGACTCTGCCAAGGGAATGAAAGGCCAGGGAGGCAAGGTCAGAAATGTGGGCCCAGCACCCCAGGGTCCCTTCTTCCTAGTTTATGAGAGACTCCCTGACAGGACTTCCCTCCCATTTCAGGAAAATCCTCTTATGTGGGGAGATGACACCCGAAGGTTTGGAGAAGGACTCACCCTCATGTGGCCAGGCCCCCTGCAGCAAGAAGAACCCTGGAAAGAAAGATCATGATGGATGACCCATCTGCAGGCAAACCAGGGCACCCTTGCTGCCCCCACTGGGCTGTGAGTCTTGGTAGCCAGGCCCTTCCTGGGCTGAAGGTAAACTCACCCTCAGTGCCTACCTGCACCCAAGAACAGGGCTGTCGGCTGTGCAGAGACCCAGCCTCCAGGTCCATATCCCCACCTCAAGCCCATATCTCCACTCCAGGCCCATATCTCCACTCCAGGCCGATATTTCCACCCTAAGCCCATATCGCCAATCCAGGCCCATATCTCCAATCCAGGCTCAGATCTCCACCCTGGGCCCATATCTCCAATCCAGGCCCTTATCTCCACTCCAGGTCCATATCTCCTCTCCAGTCCCATATCTCCACTCCAGGCCCATATATCCTCTCCAGTCCCATATCTCCACACCCAGGCCCGTATCTCCATCCTAGGCACATATCTCCTCTCCAGGCCCAGATATCGACCTCTAGGCCCATATCTCCACTCCTGGCCCATATCTCCACTCCAGGCCCAGATATCGACCTCTAGGCCCATATCTCCACTCCTGGCCCATATCTCCACTCCAGGCCCATGTCTCCACTTCAGGCCCATATCTCTACTGCAGGCCCGTAACTCCACCTCCAGGCCCATGACTCCACTCCAGGCCCATATCTCCACCTCCAGGCCCATATCTCCCCTCCAGGTTCCTATCTCCCCTCCAGGTTCCTATCTCCACTCCAGGCCCAGATCTCCACTACAGTCCCATCACTCCACCTCCAGGCCTATATCTCGACCTCTGGGCCCAGATCTCCACTTCTAGGCCCATCACTCCATCTCTAGGCCCATATATCCACTCCAGGCCCAGATCTCCACTCCAGGCCCACAACTCCACCTCCAGGCCTATATATCCACCTCTGGGCCCAGATCTCCAACCCCACACTCCCTTCCTCTATTCCCTTCCAGGACTCACCAACACACGCCATGCTGACGACCGTGAGCGACATGGTGCTGCCGGTGCAGACAGGCGGCCGCGCCCCAGCTCAGCTCAGCAGCGCACAGGATGTTATTTGGCGCCCTGCCCATGCAGTTTACATGTTGACCACATCATGGGAGGGTGACGTACGCAGGCTCTTTCTACCTTGCATGAGGCCCAGTGGTTGCTCGCTCAAGAGCGGAACACGGCTTCCTGGAAATTGTTCTCACTAGAATTTACACCTAGCGTCCTTCACTATGACCAACTCAAAACACGTCTCAGATCCAACCTCCTGAACACGAGATGCCTAAAATCTGTGCTAACGTGAAAGACTTTTCATGTATTTTTATTGTTTTTATCTGAGATTCAAACTCTTCTTCCTGTGTAATATGCAAAATATCTAATAGGTATTATTAAGGTTTTCAGAGTCATTGTGACTAATAAACCATTAGAATTTTTCATGCTTGTATTTCTAGTATTACAGCAGAACCAGTTAAAATGATTTAAATTCCCAGGGAAGGATTATGCAATTATTTACAATCTTTGAATTGTACGTTATCAGCAAAAACCACACATTTAAACTCTGGATTTTTGTAGATTTATCTAAAATTTGTCTCATGACCCAAGTTTCCAGAGTCCCAACTCTGGAGTTTGCTCTCTCTCTGTCTCTCTCCCTCCCTCATTTTAAATTTCACAGAAATATCCAGTAACATAATGCTATAGAAAATCAAGTTTCCCCCAGCACGTCGGGAAGCCGAGGTGGGCGGATCAACTGATATAAGGAGTTTGAGAGCAGCCTGGCAACACAGTGAAACCGTGTCTCTGCTAAAAATCCAAAAATTAGCCGTGCCCAGTGGCAGGAACTTGTAACACCAGCTACCCAAGAGGCTGAGGCACGAGAATCGCTTGAACCTGGGAGGCGGAGGTTGCAGTGAGCTGAGATTGCACCACTGCAGTCCAGCCTGGGCGACAGAGCAAGACTCCGCCTCAAGAAAATAAAAATAGCAAATAGCCTATAATAACAAATTAGAGGCCTCTGGCTACTAAATTTAAAGGGTTCTATGGGGCTACATAAAGTGGAGCATCCTCAAGAATGTGGACACAGAGAGCCGTTTAGCAGAGACAGTGTCTAAAATACACATCCGTGTACACACAGTCCCTTTTTAGTTGACAAAGGCTGCCGTGTGGTTTAAGGTGGCATAGAATGTCTTCTCAATAAATAATATTAAACCAAAGGGTTACACATAGGAAATAATAAATCTAAACTTATTCTCACACTATAAAAACACTTCTTAGTTTTTATCTAGTTATTGTACATTTTTTATGATTTATATTTAAATTTGAGAAATAAAAGTCCTATACCGTCATCCTTCACTATTCATGGGTGATTGGTTTCAGGATCTCCACTCAGATACTAAAATCTGCAGATGCTCAAGCCTCTTACATAAAATGACACAGCATTTGGATATAACCCATGCACATCCTCCTGTATACATGAAATCATCTCTTGATTACTTATAATTCCTGATACAGCCTATACACCACCTCATTTGTGTGCATTCAACACAGTTTTGCTTTTTGGAACTTTGTGGGCTTTTTCTCTGAATATTTTTGATTTATACTTGGTTCAATAAACACCTGTAAACCCCACAGATACGGAGGAGCGACTGTATATTTATAGTATGAAAGATGATGCGTTGACATGTGTCCCCGTGGAGATGAGACTAACAAGGCCTATGACTCTACAAATGTTTCATCATGGAATGACTCTGCCAGCTTTCCAGGTCTGCAGAGAGTAAGAATATCACTTGTTCATGTGATTCACGATCCTTGGAACTTCCTATGTGCTGCATCTTTGGATGGAAATTGGAGTCTCAGAGACAAGTCAGGGTCCACCCTGTTCCAGAAGCTCAGAGTCCAGGGGTGAGAACCCAGTGGAGAACAGATGGGGTTATGTGGACATGGTAATGATAACACCAGAAGCCTTAGGCAAGAAAAGAGTCCCATTACCGAAACCATGAGGGCAGACATGTTTATTTGAAGGAGGGAAAACTACATTGAAATTACTAAAAACAATTTATAAGTTTTACTGCTGACAGAAGGCTGAAAGATAGTCTGAGGGGAGGTGGAACTGCATGAGAGAAGGTGGAACAGCACGTGTCTAAGTGCTGTGTTAAGAGGGAGCCTCTTGTATGTTTGGAATTGTGAGTTCCTCAGTGTGATTGCAGCCTCAAGTAGACTAGGAAGTAAGCCAGTTAGGTTGGAGAGGTGGGCAGGGGTCAAGTGAAATGGAGAATTGTGGGCTAAGCAAAGGAGTGTGTTTTCTCTCCAGCAGGCAGTGGGGACCTTAGACATTTGTAAGCAAGAGAGAGGCATGTTCAGATTCGTGGTTTGAGGAAGAGCGATCCCCTAAGATGAAGACTGATGCCTTCAGATTCCAGCTGCTGGTACATGGGAGCTGGCAACCCGGTTTTGAGACAGGGCTGTTGTCTCCCTAGAAGATCCCCTCAAGGCCTGACTGTGGTGCTCGTGGACAGAAGACAGCTTTGGATCTGGACTCAGCATTTGGAAGTTCTATGTACATGCTGGTATCTGTTGGGGGTGTCTTGGGCCTCTGAGAAGGGGGAGTGATTTTTCTCTGTGTGAAAACACAGTGATCCAATTATGCGTATGACACCTCCTGATGGTCCTGTTCATCAGAATCCTGGAGAGAGGGAAATGCTGAGTGAGGGAGGGTGCTCACATTTTTCAGGACTCTTTGGGAATAAGACTAGCCACGAGGCTGGGCCGAGGAGCACCTACCTCCCTGTTCACTGTTCTGTTCCCCGCAGGCCCTTGGTCCATTACAGATGCATCTGTAGAAGATGGAAGTCAACAAAACAGCTCGGAGGGCACTTCTGGGTCCTCATTTCATAAGCAGATACCAACAAACAGGGGGAGGCCATAGGTGCCTGAGGTCCCTCAGTTGCCAACAGCAGACTCAGACATTCTATCTCTCTGAGCTCAAGGACCCATCCCATGAATAGCTCTGAGTTCCCATCCCATTGATTCTATCTCCCACTTTCTGCCTGTCATGGAACCTTCTCCTGGATGTGAGTGGCTGCAGGGGACGTGAGGGTACAGTTCAGAATCAGGCAATGGTCTGTGAGCTGAAGGCAGGGGAAGGGAATCTGGTGCTCTCTCTAGAAAGTCCTGCCTCTGTGGCTCCTGCCTTGGGCCAGGGACCATCCTGCCTGTGAGGAACACACACCCGCGTGCTACCATCCTGCTTCCCCACATGGCCCTGAGCTCTCTGGCCTCTGCTTCGTGAGACTTACTTTTTTTGTTGGAGCACCAGCGATGAAGGAGAAAGAAGAGGAGGATGGTGAAAGGGAGTTTGACCACTGAGGTCCCAATCAGAACGTGTAGGTGTCTGGGGTTACCTGGAAGAAGAGGAGACACCAATAAGAAGCTAATCATAGCAGTTCCTCTTTATGAATTGTCTCGCATTTCTTGATTGACAGGTAACCACATACAACGTCTCTTTAGGACAAGCACCCAAATGGTGGGAGACCTAGCTTTCCCCTGCTTTCTCAATTATAGCTCTCATAGTAACCATAGAACGTGCTGAGGATACAACTACTTTAGTTGAGATGTCTGACCCCTTCAAACCTCACATGGAAATTTCACCCCCACTGTGGGAGGTTGGGCCTCTTGGGAGGTGTTTGGGTCATGGAGGTGGATCCATCATGAACAGAACAATGCTGTCCCAAGGAGACGGGGTTAGCAAGTTCCCCCTCTATTAGTTCCCGGAGAGCTGGTTGTTCAAAAGAGCTTGGAAGCTCCATCGCTCCCCCTCCCCCTTACTCTCTCTCTTGCCGTGTGATCTCTGCGGTCTCTGCACAGACAGACCCTCCTTCCCTTCTGCCAGAGTGGGAGCAGCCTGAGGCCGTCACAAGAAATAGATTCTGGTGCCATGCTTCCAGTACAGCCTGCAGAACGGTGAGGCAAACCGATCTCTTTTCTTTAGAAGTTACCGAGGCTCAAGTTTTCCTTTAGAGCAACAAAAAAAAACTACGACAGCAACGTCCTGAGATCAGGAGGAATGTCTCAGAACAGCCTGGGCTGTCTTCCTGTTCTTCCTGGAGGAAGGCGTCATGCAGTGCTTTAGCTGAGTGCTTCCTGTGGCTCCAGGGTACAAAACCCAGGCTGGGCTGCTTTCTGGCTTCCCCCAGCTACACTGCAAATGGGGTGACTCCATATGTCCCGAGCAGCTTTTCTGAGCCTTGAGGGACTGGCTCACATTGAAATGTAGGCTTCTGTTGTCACTCGCTGCTTATCTGTTAGTAATGAACCTGCCTGTGTAATGTATTCTCTGTGTGTTCTGTCTTCCTGGAGTGACGGTGAGTGATAGGAATTGGCATAGGCCCAGGTGCAGTCCAGGAGGTGTTTAGAGTCTTCTCTGGGAAGACTGCACTGGGATTGATACACAGCGAATGTGCTTTAGGATTTATACATCCACGGCATTCTTGAGTCAAACAACTTGCATTCTCCAAGAAAAGGAAACAAAAGTGAAATCAAGATAAAAAAAGCGAAGTAGAATTCTCTTATGTCAAATGGCCAGGAAATAGTGTTGAAGCCCATGTGAAACGTGCTACTCTTTGTGATCTCAGGAGACACATGTTAGGCTGCTGTTCTACCCCAGAGGCTGGGGGAAGGACCACACCCTCGGCCATCTATTGCTTCAATACCACCTGTCCTCCTGTGAATTAGTAGGAAAGGGGAGCAGGAGCTAGTGCTGACGCTGATCTCTGATTCCAAGATCTGGACTCACTCCAAGGAGTATTAGAATTTACCTCCCCATGGCCTATCTGAATCTCCACAGATGATTGGAAGTAGGGGTGAGGTGGGGGATTTGGGTGAGAGGGCATGTTTTTTTTGTGATGAACAGAGCACTTTGTGTATTCCAGGATCTGTGCTGGAGGATTCAGCGGGCTTTCACATTTTCTATATGATCTCATGCTCACAGAAAGCCAAATAGGGAAGAGGTTTTAGGCTCATTGCCTAATGGATAAGATAAAGGATCAAAGAAGTAATTATAGAGAAATAGAAAAATCATGATTGGAATTCAGGTCCCTTTGTCATTTGCGTGTGTTATATTATATTTATATTTATGCATTTCTTATTTTTATTTTTTGAGACGGAGTCTCCTTGTGTCACCCAGGCTGGAGTGCAGTGATGCAATCTCCACTCACTGCAAACTCCACCTCCTGGGTTGAAGTCATTCTCCTGCTTCATCCTCCAGAGTAGGAGCTGGCATTACAGGGATGCACCACCATGTTCGGCTAATTTTTGTGTTTTTCCTAGAGACAGGGTTTCACCATGTTGGCCAGGCTGGTCTCGAACTGCTGACTTCGTGTGATCCACCCGCCTTGGCCTCCTGCAGTGCTGGGTTACAGGCGTGAGCCACCGTTCACAGACTTGTATATTATGCTGTAATAGGTCCCTTCATTTCCACCACCCCTCATATATCTGTCACTCCTTTGCCAGGTATTGATTTATGTGTAGTAGGAATAAAGCTCAGAAAGAAATTAAGCGAGGATTAGACAACTAGGAAAATCATACCCAGCAAGCCTTTCCAGCCAATGATTCCACCTCACAAGCATATCTTATATCCATCTGCTTCACCCAGTTAGGGTCTAAATCAGCACCACATTTCACCAGTGAGGCGGGAATTGCCTTTTCCACGGTCTCCTAGATTCCAGTTACGCACCTGGGCCTCCCTTATTTTCATGTCAGTCACTATTAATCATGTAGGGATTCCTGGCTACCCCGAGGTGAATCCAATGGCTGTGAGTGTCAAACACACACTCCTTGTTGCTCCTTAGTTTCCTGTGTACCCAGTGTGCTCTCCGTCTCTCCACAGTCGTCTTGTCATTCTCCCCACGTCATTCCCAGCATTTGAGGAAGAGCCTCTTCCTTCAACATCAGATTATTTTCACCTTTGTGCGTTCACGGCTGACAGCTGTGTGTGGAAAATCCTTCCACCAATCTTTCAGGGGTTCAATCCGTGTTTTTCATTAATGTCACAAATATCTGATTAGTGAGATCTTCTCTGTCACCCAAAATCATACACTCAGCATTATGTATTATTTATTTTAAATTCTGGCTGGGCACAGTGGCTCACGCCAGTTATCCCAGTACTTTAGGATGCTGAGACGGTCGGATCACTTGAGGTTGGGAGTTTCAGAGAAGCTTGGCGAAGATGGTGAAACATCCTCTACAAAAAATATACAAAAAGAATTAGCCGGGCATGGTGGCAGTTGCCTGTAATCCCAGCTACTTGAGAGGCTGACGCAGGAGAATCACTTGGATCCAGAAGGTGCAGGTTGCAGTGAGCCAAGATGGTGACACTGCACTGTAGCCTGGAAGACAGAGGGCGACTCTGTCTCAATAAACAAATGAAGAAACAAACAAATAGATTTCATACACAGATGCTTCCCAATGGATCATTCATTTATTGGTCCACTTGTGCATTCATTTTCTGCCCTCCCATTTAACCATCTGCAATATCAGTGTCCCAAGAGCAGAGGCCAAATGCATCTTGTTCACTGTTTGTGGAAGGTAGGAGAATGCTGTCCCACCCCAAAATGTCCCTGTCCTAGCCTCCATAGCTTGTGAATATCTTATTTTACATGGAAAGGAGGAATGAAGATTGCAGATGGAATTATGGTTGCTAATCAGCTGAACTTAAAACAAGGGTATCCTGAATGATTTCCGGGAGATTATGATGGATTTTCATCTTGGTGAACCCAATAGAATCCCCAAGTTTTCAAAAGATGAGGAAGAAGGGAGAGCAGCATTCAGAGAAAGAGGTGTGGTAAGGAAGAAGGGTCTGAGTGATGCCATGTGAGATGTGACCAGCCTTTGTGGGCTTTGAGGAAGGAGGAAGGGGACCAGGAGCGAAGGAATGTGGGAGCCTCTAGAAGCTGAGAAAAGTGAGAAGCAGATTCTTGCCTGGAATCCTCAGAGGGAAGGCAGCCTTGCTGTCACCTTGATTTTAGCCCAGTGAGATGCACTTCATACTTTGAGCTACAGCACTGCAAGATAATTAAAAAACCGTTTTGTTTTCACCCACGAATCTTGTGGAAATTTGTTATGGCAACAATAGGAAAAGCTTCCACACTGCACAGCCTGAGCATGGGGCCGTGGCTGAATGAGTCAGTGAGTCGAAGTGTGCGTGCATGAGCTCTGTTCTCTGTTACAGCAAGGCTCTTTCTCTGCTGAGTCAGCCAGGGTTGCTTCATGACCTATAGGAGCTCATTCCTTGGCAAGTGGAACTTCTCTAAAACACCTCGCCCTCATCAGATGTTCCCTTCCCTTCCCTCTCTCAAGTCTCCAGGAATTTATCCTCCAGTTAGGAATGCAGGCAGAACAAACATTGCATTTTTCCTGAGAAGGATGTCAGATTGGCAATCATTCTTCTAGCTTGTAGGAGGTCTCAGCTCCATAAAATGAGAGATGAAGAGATTTCACTGAGCCCTGTGTTGGGCCCAGATCCCTTTCGCTGTAGGAGTATCTGGAGTTCGGAGATGGTGGAAGACAGGGGTACAATGTCAGAGCTGTGAGATGCTGAGTCAACGCCTGAATCCAAGGTTTCCACCTCCCCAGGTTTCCAAAAGCGGATATAAGAGGGTTCTGTACTCACCGGTTTTGGAGCTTGGTTCAGTGGGTGAAGGCCAACTATTTGAAGGGTTTCCTAGAATATGAGACAGGAGAGAGGTGAGGAAATGAGGGTGTCTGTCCTCTACTCAGTGGAAATCTTTGAGGATGGTTCATGGCCAACACTCTGTTATCTAATATTGGGCCCTGGGAGTCCTGGGATCCTTTTTTCCATAATTTTTGTATGTGACGCCCACTGTCTTGAGACTTCAAGGTATAAAGAGAAAACAGGAGCATCACACTACCTGATCTCAAAATATGTTACAGAGCTGTAGTAAGCAAAACAGCATGACATTGGCATAAAGAAAGGCACATAGAACAATGGAGCAGAATGAATAACACAGATATATTCCATGCATTTACATCCAATGGTTTTTTATTTTTTCTTTTGAGATGGAGTCTTGCTCTGTCACTCAGGCTGGAGTGCAGAGGTGCAATCTCAGTTCACTGCAACCTCAGCCTCCTGGGTTCAATCATTCTCTTGCCTCAAACTCCTGAGTAGTGGTATTACAGGTGCTGACCACCATGCTCAGCTAATTTTTATATTTTTAGTGGAGACGATGTTTCATCACGTCGGCCAGACTGATCTTGAACTCCTGGCCTCAGGTAATCCACCCGCCTCGGCCTCCCAAAGTGCTGGAATTGCAGGTGTGAGCCACCAAGCCCAGCCCATCCAATGGACTTTGACAAAGGTGCCAAGAACTCACAATCAGGAAAGGACAGTCTTTTCAATAAACAGTGCAGGGAAACCTGGACATCTACATGCAGAGGAATGAAACTGCACCTCTACCTGTCACCATACACAAAAATCAAATGAAAATGGATTAAAGATGTGAGTCTAAGGCCTGAACCTATGAAACACGTAGAAGAAATATTGGGGAAATGCTCCAGGACGTTTGTCTGAAGGAAGACATTTTGTTTTAAACCTTGAAAACACAAGTAATCGAAGCAAAAATAGACCATTGGGATTACCTCAAACTAAGCAACTTCTGCACTGCTAAAAATAAACCAACAAAGTGAAGAGACAACCCACAGATTGGGAGCAAATATGTGCAAACTATGCATCTGAGATGGGATTAATAACTAGAAATATAAGAAGCTCAAACAACTCAATAAAACAAATGATTTAATTGAAAAAGGAGCAAAAGACATGAAATTTCCCCACATATGAAAAAGTGCTCAGTATCACTCATCATCAGAGAAATGCAAATTAAAATCAAAGTGAGTTTTCATCTCACCCCATTAAAATGGATTTTAGGCCGGGTGAGGTGGCTCACGTCTGTCATCCTAGAACTTTGAGAGCCTGAGGTGGGTGAATCTCATAAGGTCGGGAGTTTGAGACCAGTATGACCCACATAGAGAAACGCTGTCTCTACTAAAAATACAAAAATTAGTCGGGCGTGGTGGCGTGTGCCTGTAATTCCAGCTACTCGGGAGGCTGAGGCAGGAGAATCGCTTGAACCTGGGAGGTGGAGGTTGTGGTGAGCCGAGATAGCGCCACTGCACTCCAGCCTGGGTGAGAAGAGCAAAACTCCATCTCAAAATAAAATGAAATAAATAAAATGGCTTTTAGCTGCAAGACAGGCAAAAGAAATGCTGGCAAAGTGCTAGAGAAAGGAGAACCCTGGTACCCTGTTGGGAGGAGTGTAAATTAGTACAGCGATTACGGAGAAAAGTATGGAAGTCCTTTAAAGAACTAAAAAGAGGTTGGGTGTGGTGGATCAGGCCTGTAATCCCGGCACTTTGGGAGACTGAGGCGGGCACCTCAGTTGAGGTCATGAGTTTGAGAGCAGCCCAGCCAACATGGGGAAACCGCATCTATACTAAAAAAACCAAAAAGTAGCCAGGCATGGTGGCGTGCACCTGTAATCCCAGCTACTAGGGAGGCTGAGGCAGGAAAATCATTGGAACCCAGGAGGCGGAGGTTGCAATGAGCCAAGGTCGCACCACTTTGACTCCAGCTTGGGCTAAGGAGGGAAACTCTTTCTCAAAAAAGAAAAAAAAAAAAAAGAGAACTTTCATAGTATCCAGCAATTTCACTACTGGGTTTATATCCAAAGGAAAGTAAATCAATATATCGAAGTGATATCTGCACTCGTATGATTGGTGCAGCACTGTTCACAGTAGCCAAGATGAGGAGTCAACCTACCTGCCCATCAGTGGGTGAATGGATAGAGAGAATGTAGTACATACGCACAGTGGAGACTACTCATCCATAGAAAGAATAACATCCTGTCATTTGCAGCCACATGGATGGAACTGGAGGTCATTACAAAGATTCCCATTTCTCACCCATATACAGGAGCTAAAAGGTGGATCTCATGAAGGTAGAGAGTAGAATGGTGGCTACTGGAGGGCAGGAAGAAAAGGGTGGAGGGTAAAAAAAATGTATATATATATATATATATAAATGTATTTATGACCACTAGACTTTACACTTAAAAATGGTAAATGTGGCTGGGCGTGGTGGCTCATGCCTGTAATCCCAGCACTTTGGGAGGCAGATGCGGGTGGATCACGTGGTCAGGAGTTGCAGACCAGCTCGACCAACATGGTGAAACCACCTCTCTACTAAAAATACAAAAAGTAGCCTGGCGTGGTGGTGCGCACCTGTAGCACCAGCTACTCAGGTGGCTGAGGCAGGAGAATCGCTTGAACCCAGGAGGCGGAAGTTGCAGTGAGCTGAGATTGTGCCACTGCACTCCAGCATAGGGGACAGAGCTAGACTCTGCCTCAAAAAAAAAAAAATGTTAAAGGTGGTAAGCTATATAGGTATATTTATCCTCAATAAATATTTCTTCAAACAAAAGTAAAGGGTGTAGGGGTTGCTGGTGATGACATCTCTGTGTGGGTGAGAGGCCAGGATGGGCTTCTGGGAAATGGGTAAGGTTGAGGGGCTGAGGGAACCTCTGATCTCCCCAAACTGAGCCCAGTCTCCCTCCTCTGGGTCTCTCCTGACCGCTTTCTCCATCTGCCTGGGTGCCTGGAGCCCTGGCTGCGGGCCTCCATGCAGGCCATGTAGGAGGGTTTGGAGGTGCCCTGTCGGCCATCCTGTGCCCTGATCCCTCCCTCACACCGAGGATGCATCTTCTCTCTGCATCTGTCCATGCTTCTCTCCATCCTCAGCAGGAAGCTCCTCAGCTAAGGCTCTAGGATCATAGGACATGGGACAGCCATGGGCTTTCCTCACCTGTGACAGAAACAAGCAGTGGGTCACTTGACTTTGACCACTCGTAGGGAGAGTCATGGAAAGAGCCGAAGCATCTGTAGGTTCCTCCTTGGGTGGCAGGGCCCAGAGGAAAGTCGGCCTGGAATGTTCCGTTGACCTTGGGCCCTGCAGAGAACCTACGTTCATGGGCCTCCCCCTCCGTGGATAGATGGTACATGTCATAGGAGCTCCAGGAGCTGCAGGACAAGGTCACGCTCTCTCCTGCCAGAACCGTGGGGCCCGGCTGGGCTGAGAGAGAAGGTTTCTCATATAGACCTGGAAGGAGAAGAGGCATTTTCCTTATGGAGGATCTTCCTTGTCACAGCTCCCTTCACCTGAGCTGAGAACTCACTCCCCTGCTCTATGACCTAATGCTCTCTCTCTCTCTCTCTCACCCTCCACCCCATCTCTCTTCATGTCTATTTCCTCCTTCCACCTTCTCTGTCTCTCTAGGTCTCTGACCTCGCTTCCCCACCTCTAGATATGTTTTCCGTTTTTGGATTGTTTTATTCTCTCTGACTCTCCTTGGATTGGTTGACTTGATGTTACTTTTTTAAATTCTAAGTTTCTCACTTTGTGTCCTGTTCATAACTTTCTGCATATTTCTATCTATTATCTGTTGATCTATCTATTTATCTATTCGGTGCCTATCTACAAATTCTCTACTTGTCATCTATATCTATATATCATCTATGTATCTATCACTTGTCTATCTATCCATCAATCATCTGTTATCTATATCTATGTATCATCTCTCTCTCTATGACTTCTGTCTGCCTCTCTATCTCTATGTATTATCTATCTGTCTTCATCATCATCTCTACGTCTCATCTATTAATGAATCAATCAATCATCATCTATGTATCTATAACCTAGTATCTATCATCTACCTATTTATCATCTATCTATATCTATCCATCTATCATCTGTCTTGCTCTGCCTCTCGGTCTCTCTAGTTCTCTTTGGAATCTCTGCAATTCATCCCCACATCTCCATCTTTCTATGTCCTTGTGCCTCTCCCTCAGGACTCTAATTTTAGTGCTTTTCTCTGCTCCCTTCCATCATTCTCACCACTCCTCTGCCCTCTTTTCTCTCTCTTTATGTGTCTGTGAGTCTCTCAATCTCCTTCCTCTGGCCCATTCTCTGTGTGTTTATGTCTTTGCTTTTTGGTGTTCCTGATTTTTCTCTGTGCCTCTCAGTGATCCTTTCATATGTGGGGTTATTTGGAATGTGAGCCTCAGAATCCAGTCTGGAGACTACAAGTTCACACAGCATACAGGGGTTGGTGTTCTGGGGCCATGATATCCTGGGACGATTACTCTCCATTACTTGGAAGGCAGAGGTGTCAGAATAAACACGGCATCTGTAGGTGCCAGAAGGCCTGAGGCCACAGGGCCCAACTCAGGTCAGAAATATGGGTGTCCTTGGGTTCTCCTGGTAGAGAACACTTTGTGGAGGTAAAACAGAAATGAAACTTGTAATCTGTGCCAGGTCTCTGAGCAAAGTCAGCATGGAGGGACACCTCTCTCTGGGACATGTCTGTCTGTCTGTCTCCTTTAACTCCTTCTGTCTTTTCTAACTCTCGGAATGGCCCCTGTGTCTGTCCTCTGTTATGACACCTGGTCTGTACTTGTGTCTCCTGTTTCTCTGTCTCTGTTGGTACAGACCTCACCAAGTCAGTCTCTCTCCATAAGAATACCAAGCTCATCTTCCTTACAACCACCTGGGCCTCCAAGTCCTGGATCATTCACTCTGTGTCCGAATGACAATGAGAAGAATGTCTGGACACTCTCACCTGTGATCACGATGTCCAGAGGGTCACTGGGAGCTGAAAACTGATAGGGGGAGTGAGGAACAGAACCGTAGCATCTGTAGGTCCCTGCCAGGTCTTGCCTCATGCGACCGATGGAGAAGTTGGCCTTGGAGACCCCATCAATGTGCTCTCCAATGAGGCGCAAAGTGTCGTTAAACGTCCCCTCTCTGTGCAGAAGGAAGTGCTCAAACATGACATCTGACCAACATTGCAGGATGACTGTCTCTTCTGATTTCACCAGGCGACCTGGGTGGGCCAGGAGGGAAGGTTTTCTGCGGAATCCTAGGAAGAGAGTTTGTGAATTTAGAAGGTGTCTCTCTTTATCATCCCATCCATGGCACCTGGATTGAGTGAGGCTTCCCCTCCCTGGTGTCTGTCTCTCTCCTTCCTCTCTGTGTCTTCATGTTCTTTTCTGTGCCCATAACTCCTGGTGCAGGTCCTTCCATCTGTCTCCCTCCCTCTTCTCTGTCCCTCTGTCTCTAGTAACCTCTGATTGCCTTGCCGCTGGGCTCAGCCTCATCTCTTCGGCTGTTGTATCTATTTTGAACTAATGTCTTTCCTGCTGTCTATGTGGGGGTGGAAGAGGAACCAGGATAGGCTGCACATCCAGGCTCTTAGCAGCCTGGTTCAATCTCTTTTGGACGAATTGGAATCCTTGGCAGGAGGTATGAACTGAACAGTAAGGCAGGCACCAGTGTCCACACACCCTTTTCCTGGTGGGGACTGGGAGCCACTCTTGCCATGCCTGTACCAGCTTCCATAGCCTGGCTCCTGGTGCTGGTTGGAGGAGTATCAACCGCTCCCTATGTGGATGGAGCCTGGTGGTGGCATCATAATCCCACACTTGCTGATCTTGGTGTAGCCAACCTTCTCCTTGTTTGGTTTCTTTAATTAATTAATTTTGGAGACAGAGTCTCACTCCTTTGCCCAGGCTGGAGTGAAGTGGTGTGGTCTAGGCTCACTGCAACCTCTGTCTCCTGGGTTCAAGTGATTCTCCTGCCCTCAGCCTCCCAAGTCGCTAGGATTACATGCACCTGCCACCACGCCCGGCTATCCTTGTGTCCTTTCTTAACTTTTCCTCGAGCTGGGTTCCGGTGTTGGTTTCCTGTTGCTGCTGTAGAAAATTATCAGCAGCATGGCAGCAGGAGAGAGCACACTGACCCCTTCCATTTTTGGAGGCAGAAGTCGGGCCCTGTTTTTCCTGGGCTAAAATCAAGGCACCTGCAGGGCTTCGTTCCCTCTGGAGACTCAGGAGAATCAGTTCCTTGACTTTTCCAGCCTCTATAGGCCACCTGCATTCATGGCTCCTGGCCTTCCTCCACCTTCAAAGCTGATGGAGACTCCCATTATGCTGCTCTAATCCCCACTCTCCTCTTCCTCCTCCTTTCATGTGGACCCTTGTGACTACACTGAGCCCAGGGGGACAGTCCAGGCCTTCTCCCATCTCAAGGTCAACTCATCAACAACCTGAGCTCCATCTTCCCCTTCAGTCCCTTCCCCTATAACATAAATAGTCACAGACTCCAGGGATTAGAATGTAGTCATCACTGGGGACAATTATTCTTCTCACCACAGTACCCATTTCCCTGTATTCAATCCCCCTTTACCCCAAATACAGTCAGGGCCTGCGTGAAGGGACCCTCAAGGACATGCCTACCGGAAGCTCTGGGATTCAGGAGGTGGGACAAGGAGAATCCCAGACAGGAGCCCTCTGACCTGTGACCATGATCAGCAGGGGGTTGCTGGGTGCCGACCACCCACTGGGGGAGTGTGGGTGTGAACCCCGGCATCTATAGGTCCCTGTGTGTGACGGGGTCACAGGGCCCATGAAAAGGCTTTTCCAGAATATTCTGTTGTAGTGTTCAGGGACAGGCACCCCATCATCCTTGTACAGACTGAAGTTGTTAAACCCAAGATTAGAGTGACACCGAAGAGTCACATGTTCTGGAGGCACCACAAGGCTGGGCCAGGTAGAAAGCAAGGGCTTGTCCTGACCACCTTGGGGAGAAGGAGGCGCCACCTTAGAGAGGAGGATGTGCAGCCGCCCCTCCCTCCCTGTGCTCAGAAGATTCTCCCCACTTTCCACATTTCTATGGCTGCTATCACACCTTGGTGCCTAGGGCTAAAGGAAGGACTCATCCCACAAAGACAAGGTGTCTCCCTACAACAAAAATGTCAGCTGAGAACTTTGAGCAAGTGCTGAGTAAGAGACTCCTACTAGATTTTAATACTGTAAGATTACTCACATAAAACAACACAGGGTAGACATGGGGTGGAGGGCATGTCCTTTGAGAATGGAATATCAGCAGATGCCTGAATGAAAATAAACAACTGAGCCCCCATCAGAGGATTTGGAATGTCAGGGCCATGGCTGTGGTTTCCCACCTCTTCTGGTAGAATGAGAGCAGCCACACTGCAGCCCCTACCATCATGGAAACGCTGAAGTGTGTGAGTAACACCTTTGTCCTCAGAGGATCTGCTGTTCCTACCACTTCCCCACCACACAACCCAGCTTTGAGCACCCTAGTGTAACCCTGGTCCCCACAGAACTTGACTCTGCCAAGGAAATGAAAGGCTGGGGAGGCGAGGTCGGAACTGTGGGCCAAGCACCCCAGGGTCCCCTCTTTCTAGTTTAAGAGAGACTCCCCGACAGGACTTCCCTCCCGTTTCAGGAAAATCCTCTTATGTGGGGAGATGACACCTTAAGGTTTGGAGAAGGACTTACCCTCATGTGGCCAGGCCCCCTGCAGCCAGAAGAACCCTGGAAAGAAAGACCATGATGGACCATCCATCTGCAGGCAAACCAGGCCTCCCTTGCTATCCCCACTAGGCTGTGAGTCTTGGTAGCCAGGCCCTTCCTGGGCCGAAGGGAAACTCACCCTCAGTGCCTACCTGCACCCAAGAACAGGGCTCTCGGCTGTGCAGAGACCCAGCCTCCAGGCCCATATCCCCACCCCAAGCCCATATCTCCACTCCAGGCACATATCTCCACTCCAGGCTGATATTCCCACCCTAGGCCCATATAGCCAATCTGGGCCCACATCTGCAATCCAGGCTCAGATCTCCACCCCAGGCCCATAACTCCAGTCCAGGCCCATATCTCCACTCCAGGCCCATATCTCCTCTCCAGGCCCATATCTCCACTCCAGGCCCATATCTCCACCCCGGGCCCAGATCTCCACCTCCAGGCCCATAACTACATTCCAGGATCATATCTCCACTCCAAGCCCATATCTCCACAACAGGCCCATATCTCCACTCCAGTCCCATATCTCCACCCCACGCCCATATCTCCATTCCAGGCCCATATCTCCACTCCAGGCCCATATCTTCACCACACGCCCATATCTCCACTCCAGGCCCATATCTCCACCCCACGCCCATATCTCCACTCCAGTCCCATATCTCCACTCCACGCCCATATCTCCACTCCAGTCCCATATCTCCACCCCATGCCCATATCTGCACTCCAGTCCCATATCTCCACCCCACACCCATATCTCCACTTCAGTCCCATATCTCCACTCAAGGCCCATATCTCCACCCCACGCCCATATCTCCGCTCCAGGCCCATATCTCCACTCCAGGCCCATATCTCCAACCTCCAGGCCCATATCTCCACTCCAGGCCCATATCTCCATCTCCAGGCTCATATCTCCACTCTAGGCCCATATCTCCACTCCAGGCCCTTATGTCCACCTCCAGGCCCATATCTGCACTCCAGACCCACATCTCCACTCCAGGCCCATATCTGCACTCCAGGCCCCTATCTCCACTCCAGGGCCATATCTCCACTCCAGGCTCATATCTCCACTCCAGGCCCATATCTCCAATCCAGGCCCAGATCTCCACTCCAGGCCCAGATCTCCACCTCCAGGCCCATATCTCCACTCTAGGCCCATATCTCCACTCCAGGCTCATATCTCCACTCCAGGTCCATATCTCCACCTCCAGGCCCATATCTCCACTCCAGGCCCATAACTCCACCTCCAGGCCTATATCTCCACCTCTGGGCCCAGATCTCCATCCCCGCGCTCCCTCCCTCTATTCCCTTCCAGGACTCACCAACACATGCCATGCTGATGACCATGAGCGACATGGTGGTGCCGGAGCAGACAGGCGGCCGCACCCCTAGCTCAGCTCAGCAGCGCACAGGATGTTATTTGGCTCCCTGCCCATGCAGTTTACATGTTGACCACATCATGGGAGGGTGACGTACGCAGGCTCTTTCTACCTTTCATGAGGCCCAGTGGGTGCTCGCTCAAGAGCAGAACACGGCTTCCTGGAAATTGTTCTCACTAGAATTGACACCTCGTGTCCTTCACTATGACCAACTCAAAACACGTCTCAGATCCAACCTCCGGAACACAGGATGCCTAAAATCTGTGCTAACGTGAAAAACTTTTCATGTATTTTTATTGTTTTTATCTGAGATTCAAACTCTTCTTCATGTGTAATATGCAAAATATCTAATAGGTATTATTAATGTTTTCAGAGTCATTGTGACTAATAAACCATTAGAATTTTTCATGCTTGTATTTCTAGTATTACAGCAGAACCAGTTAAAATGATTTAAATTCCCAGGGAAGGATTATGCAATTATTTACAATCTTCGAATTGTACTTTATCAGCAAAAACCACACATGTAAATTCTGGATTTTTATAGTTTTATCTATAATTTGTCTCATGACCCAAGATTCCAGAGTCCCAACTCTGGAGTTTGCTCTCTCTCTGTCTCTGTCCCTCCCTCATTTTAAATTTTACAGAAATATCCAGTAACATAATGCTATAGAAAATCAAGTTTCCCCCAGCATGTTGGGAAGCCGCGGTGGGCGAATCAACTGAGATGAGGAGTTTGAGAGCAGCCTGGCCAACATAGTGAAACCGTGTCTCTGCTAAACATTCAAAAATTAGCCGTGCCTGGTGGCAGACACCTGTAATGCCAGCTACTCAAGAGGCTGAGGCACGAGAATCGCTTGAACCTGGGAGGCGGAGTTTGCAGTGAGCTGAGATTGCACTACTACAGTCCAGCCTGGGTGACAGAGCAAGATTCCGCCTTAAGAAAAAAAAAATAGCAAGTAGCCTATAATAACAAATTAGAGGGCTCTGGCTACTAAATTTAAAGGGTTCTATAAGGCTACATGAAGTGCAGCATCCTCAAGAGTGTGGACACAGAGAGCCCCTTAGCAGAAACAGTGTCTAAAATACATCCGTGTACACACAGTCCCTTTAGAGTTGACAAAGGCTGCCCTGTGGTTTAAGGTGGCATAGAATGTCTTCTCAATAAATAATATTAAACCAAAGGGTTACACGTAGGAAAAAATAAATCTAAACTTATTCTCACACTATAAAAACACTTCTTGTTTTTATCTAGTTTATAATTTTTTTATGATTTATATTTAAAATTGAGAAATAACAGTTTTATACGGTCATCCTTCACTATTCCTGGGTGATTGGTTTCAGGATCTCCACTCAGATACCAAAATCTGCAGATGCTCAAGCCTCTTACATGAAATGGCACAGCATTTGCATATAACCCATGCACATCCTCCTGTGTACATGAAATCATCTCTAGATTACTTATAATTCCTGATATGGCCTACACACTGCTTCATTTGTGTCCCTTCAACATAGTTTTGCTTTTTGAAAGTTTGTGGATTTTCTTCTCTGAATATTTTTTATTTATAGTTGGTTCAATAAACACCTGTAAACCCCACAGATACGGAGGAGCGACTGTATATATATATATAGCATGAAAGATGATGTGTTGATATGTGTCCCCATGGAGATGAGACTAACAAGGCCTATGACTCTACAAATGTTTCATCGTGGAATGACTCTGCCAGCTTTCCAGGTCTGCAGAGAGTAAGAATATCACTTGTTCATGTGATTCATGATCCTTGGAACCTCCTATGTGCTGCATCTTTGGATGGAAATTGGAGTCCCAGAGACAAATGAGGCTCCACCCTGCTTCCAGAAGCTCAGAGTCCAGGGGAGAGAACCCAGTGGATAACAGATGGGGTTATGTGGACATGGTAATGATAACAGCGGTTTCTTTCAGCGAATAGTGTCACATTACCTAAAGCAATGAGGGCAGACATGTTTATTTGAAAAGGAGACAGCTACATTGAAATCACAAAAAATTTTATAAGTTTCACTGCTGACTGACAGAAGGCTGGAAAATAGTCTGAGGAAAGGTGAAACAGCATGAGGGAAGGTGGAACAGCACGTGTCTCAGTGCCATGTTAAGAGGGAGCCTCTTGTATGTCTGGAATTGTGAGTTCCTCAGTGTGATTGCAGCCTCAAGTAGACTAGGAAGTAAGCCAGTTCAGTTGGAGAGGTGGGCAGGGGTCAAGTGAAATAGAGAATTGTGGGCTAAGCAAAGGTGTGTGTCTTCTCTCCAGCAGGCAGTGGGGACCTTAGACATTTGTAAGCAAGAGAGAGGCATGTTCAGATTTGTGGTGTGAGGAAGAGCGATCCCCTAAGATGAAGACTGATGCCTTCAGATTCCAGCTGCTGGTACATGGGAGCTAGCAACCCGGTTTTGAGACAGGGCTGTTGTCTCCCTAGAAGATCCCCTCAAGGCCTGACTGTGGTGCTTATGGGCAGGAGACAATGATCTTGGCTTAGCATTTGGAAGTTCCATGTACATGGTGGTATCTGTTGGAGGTGTCTTGGGCCTCTGAGAAGGGGAAGTGATTTTTGTCTGTGTGAAAACGCAGTGATCCAACTGTGCATATGTCACCTCCTGAGGGTCTTGATCATCAGAGTCCTGGAGAGAGGGAAATGCTGAGTGAGGGAGGGTGCTCACATTCTTCAAGACTATTAGGGAATGAGACTCAATCCATGAGGCTGGGCTGAGGAGAACCTACCTCCCTGTTCACTGTTCTGTCCCCGGCAGGCTCTTGGTCCATTACAGCAGCATCTGTAGGAGATAGAAGTCATCAAAACAGCTGGAAGGGCACTTTTGGGTCCTCATTTCATGAGCAGACACCAACACACAGCGGGAGGCCGTAGGTGCCTGAGGTCCCTCAGCTGTCATCAGCCAGACCCAGACATTCTATCTCTCTGAGCTCAAGGACCCATCCCATGAATAGCTCTGAGTTCCCATCCCAGTGATTCTGTCTCCCCTTTCTGCCTGTCATGGAACCTTCTCCTGGATGTCAGTGGCTGCAGGGGACGTGAGGATACAGTTCAGAATCAGGCAATGGTCTGTGAGCTGAAGGCAGGGGCAGGGTGTCTGGTGCTCTCTCTAGAAAGCCCTGCCTCTGTGGCTCCTGCCTTGGTCCAGGGACCATCCTGCCAGTCAGGAACACACACCAGTGTGCTCCCATCCTGCTTCCCCACATGGTCCTGAGCTCTCTGACCTCTGCTTCGTGAGACTTACTCTTTTTGTTGGAGCAGCAGCAATGAAGGAGAAAGAAGAAGAGGATGATGAAGAGGATGATAGCCACTGAGGTCCCAATCAGAATGTGCAGGTGTCTGCGGATACCTGGGGGAAGGTGGGAATCCAATAAGAAGCTAATTATAGCAGTTCCTCTTTATGGATTGTCTCTCATTTCTTGGTTGCCAGCTAAGCACATACAACATCTGTTTAGGACAAGTTCCCCGATGGCAGGATACCCAGCTTTCTCCTGCTTTCTCAGTTATAGTTCTCAAAATAATCAGAGAACATGCTGGGGATACCACTGCTATAGTTTGAATGTTTGACCCCGCCAAACCTCACGTTGACACTTATCTCGCAGTGTGGGAGGCTGGGCCTATTGAGAGACGTTCCAGTTATGGGGGTGGATCCATCATGAATACATTAATGCTGTCCCCATGAGACGTGGTTGGCAAGTTCTCCATGAGGTCCCTAGGACTGGTTGCTAAAAAGAGCATGGGGTTTCTCCATGTTGGCCAGGCTGGTCTCAAACTCCTGACCTCAAGTGATCCAAACGCCTTGGCCTCCCAAAGTGTTGGGTTACAGGCGTAAGCTCCCATTCACAGACTTGTATATTATGCTATAATAAGTCCCTTCATTTGCACCACCCCTCATCTATCTATCACTCCTCTGCCAGATATTGATTTACATGTAGGAAAAATAAATCTCAGAAAGAAATTAATATATTCAAAATTAAATAAGTAGGCATTATCAAATCCAGCAAGACCTCCCTACAAATGATTCTACCTCACAGACATATCTTATACCCATCTACTTCATTCATTTAGTGTCTAAATCAGCACCACATTTCACCAGTGGGGCGGGAATTGCCTTTTCCACGGTCTCCTAGATTCCAGTTACGCACTTGGGCGTCCCTTATTTTCATGTCAGTCATATTAATCATGTAGGGATTCCTGGTTACCCCGAGGTGAATCCAATGGCTGTGAGTGTCAAACACACGCTCCTTGTTGCTCCTTAGTTTCCTGTGTACCCAGTGTGCTCTCCGTCTCCCTACAGTCATCTTGTCATTCTCCCCACGTCATTCCCAGCATTTGAATGCAGAGCCTCTTCCTTCCACATCAGATTGTTTTCACATTTGTGCCTTCACGGCTGACAGCTGTGTGTGGAAAATCCTTCCGCCCATCTTCCAGGGGTTGAATCTACTTTTTTTTTTCATTATGGTCACAAATATTATCTGATTAGTGAGACTTTCTCTGTCTCCTGAAATTATACACTTAGAATTCTTTATTATTTATTTTAAATTTCGGCTGGGCGCAGTGGCTCACGCCTTGAGTCCCAGCATTTTGGGATGCTGAGACGGTCGGATCACTTGAGGTTGGGAGTTGGAGACAATCTGCGCAACATGGTGAAACTCCATCTCTACTAAAAAATATAAAAGAAAATTAGCTGGGTGTGGTGGAGGGGACTGGAATCACAACTAGTCAGGAGGCTGAGGCAGGAGAATCGCCTGAACCCGGGAGGCGGAGGTTGTGGTGAGCTGAGGTCATGCCACTGCACTCCAGCCCGGGGACAGAGAATGACTTCGCCGCAAATAAATAAATACATAAATAGATAAATAGATAAATAAATAGGTAAATAGATTTCATGCACGGATGCTTCCCAATGGATCAATCATTACTGGTCCACTTGTGCATTCATATTCTGCCCTCCCATTTGCCCATCTGCAATGTCAGTGTCCTAAGAGCAGAGGCCAAATGCATCGTGTTTACCATTTGTGGAAGGCAGGAGAATGCTGGCCCACCCCCAAAATGTCCCTGTCCTAGCCTCCATAGCTTGTGAATATGTTATTTTACATGAAAGGAGGAATAAAGATTGCAGATGGAATTATGGTTGCTAATCAGCTGAACTTAAAAAGAGGTTATCTTGGGTGATTTTAGGGAGATTGTGATGGATTATCTTGGTAAACTCAATAGAATCCCAAAGTCTTTAAAAGAGGAAGAAAAAGTCAGAGCAACACTTAGAGAAAGAGGTGAGGTAAGGAAGAGGGATCTGAGTGATGCCACGTGAGAGATGTGACGAGCTTTTGTGGACTTCGAGGAAGGAGGATGGGGACCAGATGCCAAGGAACGTGGGAACCTCTGGGAGCTGGGAAATGTGAAAAGCCGATTCTCGCCTGGAACCTTCAGAGAAAAGGCAGCCTCGCAGTCACCTTGATTTTAGCCCAGTGAAATGCATTTCATATTTCTGAGCTATAACACTGTAAGATAATTTTAAAAGCTGTGTTGTTGTCATCCATGAAGTTTGTGGAGATTTATTATGGCAACAGCAGGAAAGGGTTCCACACTGTACAGTCAGAGCACAGGGCAGTGGCTGAATAAGTGAGTGAGTGGAAGTGTCATATTCGTGGATGAACTACGTTCCTTCTTACTGCAAGGCTCTTGCTCTGCTGACTCAGCCAAGGTCGCATCATGACCAACAGGGGCTCATTCCTTGGCAAGTGGAACTTCTCTAAATCACCTTTCCCTCATCAGATGTTCCCTTCCCCTCCCTCTCTCAAGTCCCCTCGAATTTATCCTCCAATTTGGAATGCAGGCAGAAAAAACACCACATTATCCCTGAGAAGGATGTCAGATTTGTACTCGTCCGTCTAGCTTGGAGGAGGTCTCAGCTGCAGAAATTTGAAATGAAGAGACTTCACTGAGCCCTTTGCTGTCCTCAGATACCCTTCGCTGTTGTAGTGTCTGGGGGTCAGAGATGTTAGAAGACAGGCCCACAATCACAGAGCTGGGAGGTGCTGAGCCAATGCTTGAATCCAAGATACCAACCTCCCCAGGTTTCCAAAAGCAGAGATAAGAGGGATCTTTACTCACCAGTTTTGGAGCTTGGTTCAGTGGGTGAAGATGAACTACTTGAAGAGTTTCCTAGAACACAGGACAGGAGAGAGGTGAGGAAATGAGGATGCCTGTCTTCTACTCAAAGGAAATCTTTGAGGTTGGTTCATGGCCAACACTCTGTTATCTAATGTTGGGCCCTAGGAGTCCTGGCGTCCCCTTCTCCATCATCATTGTTAAATGATGCCCAGTGTCCTGAGATTTCGAGGTATAAAGACAAAACAGGTGCTGGAGGCCTCACACTCCCTGACTTAAAAATATGTTACAAAGCTGTAGTAAGCACAACAGCATGACATTGGCATAAAGGCCCTTAGAGCAATGGAGCAGAATGAAGAACACAGATATAATTCATGCATTCACATCCAATGGACTTTGACGATTGTAGGTGCCAAGAACCTGCAATCAGGAAACGACGGTCTTTTCAATAAATGGAGCAGGGAAAACTGGTATCTACATGCAGTTGATGAAACTGCACCTCTACCTCTCACCATACACAGAAATCAAATGAAAATGGAAGAAACACTTAAGGCCTGAAACCATTAAGCGTCTAAAAGGAAAGAGTGGGGAAATGCTCCAGGACATTTGTCTGAGGAAAGACATTTTATTTGAAATCTCAAAAACACAAGAAATCAAAACAAAATAATAGACCTTCGGGATTACATCAAAGTAAGCAGCTTCTGCACCGCAAAGGAAGCAACCAACAAAGTGAAGAAGAGACAAATTGGGAGAAAATATTTGTGAAGTATGCATCTGAGAGGGGATTAATAACTAGAATATACATAAAACTCAAGCAACGGTATAAAACAATGAATTTAATTTAACAATTAGTAAAAGACCTGAACAGACATTTCTCAACAAACAAAACGTACAAATGGCGAACATGTACATGAAAAAGTGCTCAGTATCACTAATCATGCCAATTGAAATCACAGTGAGCTATCATCTCATCCCATTAAAGTGGCTTTTATCTGAAACACAGACAAAATGAATGCTGGCAAGGTGGTAGAGAAAGGAGAACCCTGGTACCCTGTTGATAGGATCTAGCAATTCCACTACTGGGTGTAAACCCAAAGGGAAGGACATCAGTGTATCGAAGTGATATCTGCACTCATACGATTGGTGCAGCACTGTTCACAGTAGCCAAGATGTGGAGTCAACTTACCTGCCCGTCAGTGGGTGAATGGATAGAGAGAATGTAGTACACACACACAGTGGAGAGTACTCATCCGTAGAAAGAATAACATCCTGACATTTGCAGCCACATGGATGGAACTGGAGGTCATTGCAAAGATTCCCATTTCTCACCCATATACAGGAGCTAAAAGGTGGATCTCATGAAGGTAGAGAGTAGAATGGTGGCTACCAGAGGGCAGGAAGTAAAGGGTGGAGTGTAACAACAACAATAAAAAAGAATATAGATGTATTTATTTATTTAGAGA
Source organism: Homo sapiens (assembly GCF_000001405.40). Classification (NCBI taxonomy): domain Eukaryota; kingdom Metazoa; phylum Chordata; class Mammalia; order Primates; family Hominidae; genus Homo; species Homo sapiens. Next base: position 65,821 of record NT_187636.1, read on the forward strand.
CAGAATCTCTCTCTGTCTCCCAGGCTGCAGTGCAGTGGCCTGATCTCAGCTCAGTGCAACCTCTGCCTCCTGGGCTTACGTACTTCTCCTGCCTCAGCCTCCCATGTAGCTAGGAATACAGGTGCATGCCAGCATGCCCAGCCAATTTTTCTTGTCTGTTTAGTAAAGATGAATTTCCCTCATGTTGGCCAGGCTGATCTCGAGCCTCTGATCTTAAATGATCCACCTTCCTTGGCCTCTCAAAGCACCGAGATTATAACTGTGAGCCACTGCACCCTGCATATAAAGGAATTTATGACCACTAGATTTTACTTTTAAAAATGGTAAAGGTGGCAAATTATATAGTTACATTTAACCTCAATAAATGTTTTTTCAAACGGAAAGAAAAGGGTGTAGGGGTTGCTGGTGATGACATCTCTGTGTGGGTGAGAGGCCAGTATGGGCTTCTGGGAAATGGGTAAGGTTGAGGGTCTGAGGAGCCTCTGATCTCCCCAAACTGAGCCGAGTCTCCCTCCTCTGGGTCTGTCCTGACCACTTTCTCCATCTGCCTGGGTGCCTGGAGCCCTGGCCGCGGGCCTCCATGCAGGCCGTGCAGGAGGGTTTGGAGGTGCCCTGTCTGCCATCCTGTGCCCTGATCCCTCCCTCACACCATGCTGCGTGTTCTCTCTGCATCTGTCCATGCTTCTCTCCATCATCAGCAGGAAGCTCCTCAGCTAAGGCTCTAGGATCACAGGACATGGGACAGGCATGGGCTTTCCTCACCTGTGACAGAAACAAGCAGTGGGTCACTCGGGTCTGACCACTCATAGGGTGAGTCATGGAGAGAGCTGAAGCATGTGTAGGTCCCTCCGTGGGTGGCAGGGCCCAGAGGAAAGTCAGCCTGGAATGTTCCATCGACGCTGGGCACTGCAGGGAGCCTAGGTTCATGGGCCCTCCCCTCCCTGGATAGATGGTACATGTCAAATGAGCTCCTGGAGCTGCAGGACAAGGTCACGTTCTCTCCTGTGCGAACCGTGGGGCCCGGCTGGGCTGAGAGTGAAGGTTTCCCAAATAGACCTGGAAGAAGAGGCAGTTTCCTCAGGGAGGTTCTTCCTTGTCACAGCTCCCCTCACACCTGAGCTGAGAACTCACTCCCCTGCTCTATGACCTAATGCTCTCTCTCTCTCTCACCCTCCACCCCCGACTCTCCCTGTGGATCCCTCCCTATGCAGCTCCAGCCTGGTGGTGGCATCAGCAGTGCACCCTTGCTGACCTTAGGGTAGCCAACCCTCTTGTTTGGTTTTTTAACTTGTCCTTGACCTGGATTCCTGTGTTGTTTCCTGTTGTTGCTGCAGAAAATTATCACAAACACGGCGGCGGGAGAGAACACTTCTGTTGACAGAAATCAGACCCTGTTCTTCCTGGGCTACAATCAAGGCATCTGCAGGGCTGCATTCCCTCTGGAGACTCGGGAGAATCAGTTCCATTGACTTCTCCAGCCCCTAAAGGCCACCTGCATTCCGTGGCTTCTGGCCTTCCTCCACTTTCAAAGCCCGCAGTGGCTGGTGGACTCTCCCTCCCACTACGCTGCTCTAATCCCCACTCTCCTCTTCCTCCTCCTCTCATGTGGACCCTTGTGATTACACTGAGCCCAGTGGGAGAGTCCAGGTCGTCTCCCCATCTCAAGGTCAACTCATCAACAACCTGAACTCCATCTTCCCCTTCAGTCCCATGTCCTATAACATAAATAGTCACAGGCTCCAAGGATTACAATATAGCCATGCTGCCGACAGTTACTCTTTCCACCACAGCACCCATTCCCCTGTATTCAATCCCCATTGACACCAAATACAGTCAGGGCCTGGATGATTGGACCCTGGTGGACACCCCCACCAGATGCTCTGGGATTCAGGAAGTGGGAGAAGGAGAAGCCCAGACATGAGTCCTCTGACCTGTGACCACGATCACCAGGGGGTTGCTGGGTGCCGACCACTCAATGGGGGAGCGCGGGTGTGAACCCCGACATCTGTAGGTCCCTGCGTGTGCAGGGGTCACAGGGCCCATGAGGATGCTCTTCCAGAATATTTTGTTGTAGAGCTCAGGGACAGGCACCCCATCTTCTTTGTACAGACTGAAGATGGTAAACCCAAGACGAGAGCGACACAGAAGAGTCACATGTCCTCCTCGAGGCACCACAGCGCTGGGCCAGGCAGACAGCAAGGGCTTGTCCTGTCCACCTGGGGGAGAAGGAGGCGCCACCTTAGAAAGGAGGATGTGGAGCCGCCCCTCCCTGCCAGTGCTCAGAAGATTCTCCCCACTTTCCTCGTTTCTAAGGCTCCTACCACACTTGGGTGCCCATGGGTACGGGAAGGACCCACCCCGCATAGACTTGGCGTCTCTCTACAACAAAAGTGTCAGCTGAGAACTTTGAGCAAGTGCTGAGTAAGGGACTCCTACTAGATTTTAATACTGCAAGATTACTCACATAAAACAACACAAATAGACATGGGGTCGAGGGCATGTTCTTTGTGAATGGAATATCAGCCAATGTGTGAACCACAATACACAACTGAGCCCCCAACAGAGGATTTGGAAGGTCAGGGCCCTGGCTGGGGTTCCCCCACCTCTGAGGTAGAATGACAGCAGCCACACTGCAGCCCCTACCGTCATGGAAACGCTGGAGGGTGTGAGTTACACCTTTGTCCTCAGAGGCCTGCTGTTCCTAGCACTGCTTTGCTCCCTTCCTCTGCCAGTGACACCACATCCCAGCCGCACAGCCCAGCTTGGAGGACCCCAGTCTACCCTCCCGGGTTCCCACAGAACCTGACTCAGCCAAGGGAAAGGAAGGCTGGGGAGGGCAAGGTCGGAACTGTGGGCTGAGCACCCCAGGGTCTCCTCATCCTTGTTTATAAGAAAATCCCCCACCGGGCTTCCCTCCTGTTTCAGGAAAATCCTCTTATGTGGGGAGATGACACCCGAAGGTTTGGAGAAGGACTCACCCTCATGTGTCCAGGCCCCCTGCAGCAAGAAGAACCCTGGAAAGAAAGATCATGATGGACCATCCATCTGCAGGCAAACCAGGACTCCCTTGCTGCCCCCACTGGGCTGTGAGTCTTGGTAGCCAGGCCCTTGCTGGGCTGAAGGGAAACTCACCCTCAGTGCCTGCTTGCACCCAAGAACAGGGCTGTCGGCTGTGTAGAGACCCAGCCTCCAGGCCCATATCCGCACCCCAGGCCCCTATCCCCACCCCAAGCCCATATCTCCACTCCAGGCCCATATCTCCACTCCAGGCCAATATTTCCACCCTAGACCCATATCTCCAATCCAGGCCCATATCTCCACCCCAAGCCCATATCTCCATCCTAGGCCCATATGTCCACTCCAGGCCCAGATATCCACCTCTAGGCCCATATCTCCACCTCCAGGCCCATATCTCCACCTCCAGGCCCATGTCTCCACTCCAGGCCCATATCTCCATCCCAGGCCAATATCTTCACTCCAGGCTCCTATCTCCCCTCCGGGTTCCTATCTCCACTCCAGGCCCAGATCTCCACTCCAGGCCCATATCTCCACCTCCAGGCCCATATCTCCACTCCAGACCCAGATCTCCACTTCTAGGCCCATCACTCCATCTCCAGGCCCATATATCCACTCCAGGCCCAGATCTCCACTCCAGGCCCATAACTCCACCTCCAGGCCTATATCTCCACCTCTGGGCCCAGATCTCCATCCCCGCACTCCCTCCCTCTATTCCTTTCCAGGACTCACCAACACACGCCATGCTGATGACCATGAGCGACATGGTGCTGCCGGTGCAGACAGGCGGCCGCGCCCCAGCTCAGCTCAGCAGCGCACAGGATGTTATTTGGCGCCCTGCCCATGCAGTTTACATGTTGACCACATCACGGGAGGGTGACGTACGCAGGCTCTTTCTACCTTGCATGAGGCCCAGTGGGTGCTTGCTCAAGAGCGGAACACGGCTTCCTGGAAATTGTTCTCACTAGAATTGGCACCTCGCGTCCTTCACTATGACCAACTCACAACACGTCTCAGATCCAACCTCCCGAACACAAGATGCCTAAAATCTGTGCTAACGTGAAAGACTTTTCATGTATTTTTATTGTTTTTATCTGAGATTCAAACTCTTCTTCCTGTGTAATATGCAAAGTATCTAATAGGTATTATTAATGTTTTCGGAGTCATTGTGACTAATAAACCATTAGAATTTTTCATGCTTGTATTTCTAGTATTACAGCAGAACCAGCTAAAATGATTTAAATTCCCAGGGAAGGATTATGCAATTATTTACAATCTTAGAATTGTACTTTATCAGCAAAAACCACACCTGTAAATTCTGGAGTTTTGTAGTTTAATCTAAAATTTGTCTCATGACCCAAGATTCCAGAGTCCCAACTCTGGAGTTTGATCTCTCTCTGTCTCTCTCCCTCCCTCGTTTTAAATTTTACAGAAATATCCAGTAACATAATGCTATAGAAAATCAAGTTTTCCCCAGCACGTTGGGAAGCCGAGGTGGGCGGATCAACTGAGATAAGGAGTTTGAGAGCAGCCTGGTCAACATAGTGAAACCGTGTCTCTGCTAAAAATCCAAAAATTAGCCGTGCCTGGTGGCAGGCACCTGTAACGCCAGCTGCTCAAGAGGCTGAGGCACGAGAATCGCTTGAACCTGGGAGGTGGAGGTTGCAGTGAGCTGAGATTGTGTCACTGCAGTCCAGCCTGGGCGACAGAGCAAGACTCCGCCTCAAGAAAAAAAAAGCAAATAGCCTATAATAACAAATTAGAGGGCTCTGGCTACTAAATTTAAAGGGTTCTATAAGGCTACATAAAGTGCAGCGTCATCAAGAGTGTGGACACAGAGAGCCCCTTAGCAGAAACAGTGTCTAAAATACATCCATGTACACACAATCCCTTTAGAGTTGACAAAGGCTGCTGTGTGGTTTAAGGTGGCATAGAATGTCTTCTCAATAAATAATATTAAACCAATGGGTTACACCTAGTAAAAAATAAATCTAACTGACACTATAAAAACACTTCTTAGTTTTTATCTAGTTGTACATTTTTTATGATTTATATTTAAATTTGAGAAATAAAAGTCATATACGGTCATCCTTCACTATTCGTGGGTGATTGGTTTTGAGATCTCCACTCAGATACCAAAATCTGTAGATGCTCAAGCCTCTTATATGAAATGGCACAGCATTTGCAAATAACCTATGCACATCCTCCTGTATACATGAAATCATCTCTAGATTACCTATAATTCCTGATACAGCCTACACACAGCTTCATTTGTGTCCATTTAACATAGTTATGCTTTTTGAAACTCTGTGGATACTTTCTCTCAATATTTTTGATTTATACTTGGTTCAATAAACACCTGTAAACCCCGCAGATATGGAGGAGTGACCGTATATTTATATTATGAAAGAAGATGTGTTGATATGTGTCCCCATGGAGATGAGACTAACAAGGCCTATGACTCTACAAATGTTTCATTGTGGAATGACTCTGCCAGCTTTCCAGGTCTGCAGAGAGTAAGAGTATCACTTGTTCATGTGATTCGCGATCCTTGGAACCTCCTATGTGCTACATCTTTGGATGGAAATTGGAGTCCCAGAGACAAATGAGGCTCCACCCTGCTTCCAGAAGATCAGAGTCCAGGGATGAGAACTCAGTGGGGAACAGATGGGATTATATGGACATGGTACTGATAACACCGGAAGCCTTAGGCAAGAAAAGAGTCCCATTACCGAAACCATGGGGGCAGACATGTTTATTTGAAGGATGGAAAACTACATTGAAGTTATTTTAAAAAGTATATAAGTTTTACTGCTGACAGAAGGCTGAAAGCTAGTCTGAGGGGAGGTGGAACAGCATGAGGGAAGGTGGAACAGCACGTGTCTAAGTGCTGCGTTAAGACGGAGCCTCTTGTATGTGTGGAATTGTGAGTTCCTCAGTGTGATTGCAGCCTCAAGTAGACTAGGAAGTAAGCCAGTTAGGTTGGAGAGGTGGGCAGGGGTCAAGTGAAATGGAGAACTGTGGGCTAAGCAAAGGAGTGTGTTTTTTCTCCAGCAGGCAGTGGGGACCTTAGACATTTGTAAGCAAGTGAGAGGCACATTCAGATTTGTGGTGTGAGGAAGAGCGATGCCCTAAGATGAAGACTGATGCCTTCAGATTCCAGCTGCTGGTACATGGGAGCTGGCAACCCAGTTTTGAGACAGGGCTGTTGTCTCCCTAGAAGATCCCCTCAAGGCCTGACTGTGGTGCTCGTGGACAGAAGACAACTTTGGATCTGGGCTCAGCATTTGGAAGTTCTATGTACATGCTGGTATCTGTTGGGGGTGTCTTGGGCCTCTGAGAAGGGCGAGTGATTTTTCTCTGTGTGAAAACACAGTGTTCCAATTATGCGTATGACACCTCCTGATGGTCTTGTTCATCAGAATCCTGGAGAGAGGGAAATGCTGAGTGAGGGAGGGTGCTCACATTTTTCAGGACTCTTTGGGAATAACACTAGCCACGAGGCTGGGCCGAGGAGCACCTACCTCGCTGTTCACTTCTGTTCCCTGCAGGCTCTTGGTCCATTACAGCAGCATCTGTAGAAGACGGAAGTCAACAAAAGAGCTCGGAGGGCACTTCTGGGTCCTCATTTCATAAGCAGATACCAACAAACAGGGGGAGGCCATAGGTGCCTGAGGTCCCTCAGTTGCCAACAGCAGACTCAGACATTCTATCTCTCTGAGTTCAAGGACCCATCCCATGAATAGCTCTGAGGTCCCATTCCATTGATTCTATCTCCCACTTTCTGCCTGTCATGGAACCTTCTCCTGGATGTGAGTGGCTGCAGGGGACGTGAGGATACAGTTCAGAATCAGGCAATGGTCTGTGAGCTGAAGGCAGGGGAAGGGAATCTGGTGCTCTCTCTAGAAAGTCCTGCCTCTGTGGCTCCTGTCTTGGGCCAGGGACCATCCTGCTGGTGAGGAACACACACCCGTGTGCTCCCATCCTGCTTCCCCACATGGCCCTGAGCTCTCTGGCCTCTGCTTCGTGAGACTTACTTTTTTTTGTTGGAGCACCAGCGATGAAGGAGAAAGAAGAGGAGGATGGTGAAAGGGATTTTGACCACTGAGGTCCCAATCAGAATGTGCAGGTGTCTGAGGTTACCTGGAAGAAGAGGAGACACCAATAAGAAGCTAATCATAGCAGTTCCTCTTTATGAATTGTCTTGCATTTCTTGATTCACAGGTAACCACATACAGCGTCTCTTTAGGACAAGCACCCAGATGGCGGGAGACCCAGCTTCCTCCTGCTTTCTCAGTTATAGCTCTCATAGTAACCATAGAACGTGCTGAGGATACCACTACTTTAGTTGAGATGTTTGACCCCTTCAAACCTCAGATTGAAATTTACCCCCCAGTGTGGGAGGGTGGGCCTCTTGGGAGGTGTTTGAGTCATGGGGGTGGATACATCATGAACAGATCAATGCTGTTTTAAGGAGACGGGGTTAGCAAGTTCTCCCTCTATTAGTTCCTGGAGAGCTGGTTGTTCATAAGAGCTTGGAAGCTCCATCACTCCCCCTCTCCCTTGCTCCCTCTCTTGCCGTGTGATCTCTGTGGTCTCTGCACAGACAGACCCTCCTTCCCTTCTGCCAGAGTGGGAGCAGCCTGAGGCAGTCACAAGAAATAGATGCTGGTGCCATGCTTCCAGTACAGCCTGCGGAACTGTAAGGCAAACCAAAATCTTTTGTTTAGAAGTTACCCAGGCTCAAGTGTTCCTTTAGAGCAACAAAAATGGACTAAGACAGCAACGTCCTGAGATCAGGAGGAAAGTCCCAGAACAGCCTGGGCTGTCTTCCTGTTCTTCCTGGAGGAGGACGTGATGCAGTGCTTTAGCTGAGTGCTTCCTGTGGCTCCAGGGTACAAAACCCAGGTTGGGCTGCTTTCTGGCTTCCCCCAGCTACACTGCAAATGGGGTGACTCCACATGTCTCGAGCAGCTTTTCTGAGCCTTGGGGAACTGGCTCACATTGAAATGTAGGCTTCTGTTGTCACTCGCTGCTTATCTGTTAGTAATGAACCTGCCTGTGTAATGTGTTCTCTGTGTGTTCTGTCTCCCTGGAGTGACGGTGAGTGATAGGAATTGGCATAGGCCCAGGTGCAGTCCAGGAGGTGTTTAGAGTCTTCTCTGGGAAGACTGGACTGGGATTGATACACAGCGAATGTGCTTTAGGATTTCTACATCCACGGCATTCTTGAGTTAAACAACTTGCATTCTCCAAGAAAAGGAAACAAAAGTGAAATCAAGATCAAAAATGCGAAGTAGAATTCTCTTATGTCAAACAGCCAGAAAATAGTGTTGAAGCCCGTGTGAAATGTGCTATTCTTTGTGATCTCGGGAGACACATGTTAGGCTGCTGTTCTACCTGACAGGCTGGGGGAAGGACCACCCCCTCGACTATCTATTGCTTCAATACCACCTGTCCTCCTGTGAATTAGTAGGAAAGGGGAGCAGGAGCTAGTGCTGGCACTGATCTCTGATTCCAAGATCTGGACTCACTCCAAGGAGTATTAGCATTTACCTCCCCATGGTCTATCTGTATCTGCACAGGTGATTGGAAGTAGGGGTGAGGTGGGGGATTTGGGTGAGGGGGCAAGTTTTTTTTGTGATGACCAGAGCACTTTCTCTATTCCAGGATTTGTGCTGGAGGATTCAGCGGGCTTTCACATTTTCTATATGATCTCATGCTCACAGAAAGCCAAATACGGAAGAGGTTTTAGGCTGATTGTCTAATGGATAAGATAAAGAATCAAAGAAGTAATTATAGAGAAATAGAAAAATGATGATGGGAATTCAGGTGCCTTTGTCGTTCGTGTGTGTTTTATTATATTTATGCATTTCTTATTTTTATTTTTTGAGACGGAGTCTCCTTGTGTCACCCAGGCTGGAGTGCAGTGATGCGATCTCCACTCACTGCAACCTCCACCTCCTGGGTTGAAGTCATTCTCCTGCTTCATCCTCCAGAGCAGGAGCTGGGATCACAGGGATGCACCACCATGCTCGGCTAATTTTTGTATTTTTAGGAGAGATAGGGTTTCACCATGTAGAGATAGGGTTTCACCATGTTGGCCAGGCTGGTCTCGAACTCCTGATTTCTTGGAATCCACTGGCCTTAGCCTCCTGCAGTGCTGGGTTACAGGAGTGAGCCACCGTTCACAGACTTGTATACTATGCTATAATAGGTCCCTTCATTTCCACCACCCCTCATATATCTGTCACTCCTTTGCCAGGTATTGATTTATGTGTAGGAGGAATAAATCTCAGAAAGAAATTAATTTAGCAAGGATTAAACAACTAGGAAACTCAAACCCAGCAAGCCCTCCCTGCAAATGATTCTACCTCCCAAGCATAGCTTATATCCATCTGCTTCATCCACTTAGGGTCTAAATCAGCACCACATTTCACCAGTGGGGTGGCAATTGCCTTTTCCACAGTCTCCTAGATTCCAGTTACGCACCTGGGCCTCCTTTATTTTCATGTCAGTCATATTAATCATGTAGGGATTCCTGGTTACCCCGAGGTGAATCCAATGGCTGTGAGTGTCAAACACACACTCCTTGTTGCTCCTTAGTTTCCTGTGTACCCAGTGTGCTCTCCGTCTCTCTACAGTCGTCTTGTCATTCTCCCCACTTCATTCCCAGCATTTGAGGCAGAGCCTCTTCCTTCAACATCAGATTGTTTTCACCTTTGTGCCTTCACAGCTGACAGCTGTGTGGAAAATCCTTCCGCCAATCTTTCAGGGGTTCAATCCGTGTTTTTCATTAATGTCACAAATATCTGATTAGTGAGACCTTCTCTGTCACCCAAAATTATACACTCAGCATTATCTATTATTGATTTTGAATTCTGGCTGGGCAAAGTGGCTCACGCCTGTAATCCCAGTACTTTGGGTTGCTGAGATGGTCGGATCACTTGAGGTTGGGAGTTTCAGACAAGCTTGGCCAACATGGTGAAACATCCTCTCTACAAAAAATATACAAAAAGAGTTAGCCGGGCATGGTGGCAGTTGCCTGTAATCCCAGCTACTCGAGAGGGTGAGGCAGGAGAATCACTTGGATCCAGGAGACGCAGGTTGCAGTGAGCCAAGATCGTGACACTGCACTGTAGCCTGGAAGACAGAGGGAGACTCTGTCTCAATAAATAAATGAACGAACAAACAAATAGATTTCATGCACAGATGCTTCCCAATGGATCATTCATTTATTGGTCCACTTGTGCATTCATTTTCTGCCCTCCCATTTAACCATCTGCAATATCAGTGTCCCAAGAGCAGAGGCCAAATGCATCTTGTTCACCGTTCGTGGAAGGCAGGAGAATGCTGTCCCACCCCAAAATGTCCCTGTCCTGGCCTCCATAGCTTGTGAATATGTTATTTTACATGGAAAGGAGGAATGAAGATTGCAGATGGAATTACGGTTGCTAGTCAGCTGAACTTAAAACAAGGGTATCCTGAATGATTTCCGGGAGATTATGATGGATTTTCATCTTGGTGAACCCAATAGAATCCCCAAGTTTTCAAAAGATAAGGAAGAAGGGAGAGCAGCATTCAGAGAAAGAGGTGTGGTAAGGAAGAAGGGTCTGAGTGATGCCATGTGAGATGTGACCAGTCTTTGTGGGCTTTGAGGAAGGAGGAAGGGGACCAGGAGCCAAGGAACTGGGAGCCTTTAGAAGCTGGGACAAGTGAGAAGCAGATTCTTGCCTGGAACCCTCAGAGGGAAGGCAGCCTTGCTGTCACCTTGTTTTTAGCCCAGTGAGATGCACTTCATACTTTGAGCTACAGCACTGTAAGATAATTAAAAAGCCGCTTTATTTTCACCCACGAATCTTGTGGAAATTTGTTATGGCAACAATAGGAAAGGATTCCAACTGCACAGCCTGAGCATGGGGCCGTGGCTGAATGAGTCAGTGAGTCGAAGTGTGCGTGCATGAGCTCTGTTCTCTGTTACGGCAAGGCTCTTGCTCTGCTGAGTCAGCCAGGGTTGCTTCATGACCAACAGTAATTCATTCCTTGGCAAGTGGAACTTCTCTAAAACACCCACCCTCATGAGATGTTCCCTTCCCTTCCCTCTCTCAAGTCCCCAGGAATTTATCCTCCAGTTAGGAATGCAGGCAGAAAAAACACTGCATTTTTCCTGAGAAGGATGTCAGATTGGCAATCATTCTTCTAGCTTGTAGGAGGTCTCACCTGCAGGACATTAAAGGTTAAGAGACTTCGCTGAGCCCTTTGGTGGCCCTAGATCCCTTTCACTGTTGGAGTGTCTGGAGTTCAGAGATGGTGGAAGACAGGCCCTCATTCACAGAGCTGGGAGGTTTGAGCCAACGCTTGCATCCAAGGCTTCCACCTCCCCAGGTTTCCAAAAGCAGAGATAAGAGGGGTCCTTTACTCACCAGATTTGGAGCTTGGTTCTGTGGGTGAAGGCCAACTACTTGAAGGGTTTCCTAGAACATGGGACAGGAGAGATGTGAGGAAATGAGGGTGCTTGTCCTCTACTCAATGGAAATCTTTGAGGTTGGTTCATGGCCAACACTCTGTTATCTAATGTTGGACCCTGGGAGTCTTGGGATCCTCTTCTCCATAATTTTTGTGTGCGATGCCCACTGTCTTGAGACTTGAAGGTATAAAGAGAAAACAGGAGCATCACACTACCTGACTTAGAAATATGTTACAGAGCTGTAGTAAGCAAAACAGCATGACATTGGCATAAAGAAAGGCACATAAAAAATGGAACAGAATGGAGAACACGGATATGATCCATGCATTTACACCCAATGGCTTTTTTTTGTGTGTGTGTGATGGAATCTTGCTCTGTCATGCAGGCTGGAGTGCAGAGGTGCAATCTCAGCTCAATGCAACCTCCACTTCCTGGATTCAAGCAATTCTCTTGCCTCAAACACCCGAGTAGTGGTATTACAGGCACTGGTCACCATGCTCAGCTAATTTTTGTATTTTTAGTAGAGACGAGGTTTCACTCTGTTGGCCAGCCTGGTCTTGAACTCCTGGCTTCAGGTGATCCACCCGCCTCGGCCTCCCAAAGTGCTGGAATTGCAGGTGTGAGCCACCATACCCAGCCCATTTAATGGACTTTGACAAAGGTGCCAAGAACTCACAATCAGGAAAGGACAGTCTTTTCAATAAATGGTGTGGGGAAAACTGGATATCTACATGCAGAGGAATAAAACTGCATCTATACCTGTCACCATAAACAAAAATCAAATGAAAATGGATTAAAAACATGAGTCTAAGGCCTGAACCTATGAAACATGTAGAAGAAAATAATGGGGAAGACATTTGTCTGACGAAAGACATTTTGTTTAAAACCTTCAAAACACAAGTAATCAAAGCAAAAAATAGACCATTAGGATTACATCAAACCAAGCAACTTCTGCACCACAAAAGATAAACCAAGAAAGTGAAGAGACAACCCACAAAATAGGAGCAAATATTTGCAAACTATTCATCTGAGACGGGATTAATAACTGGAAATATAAGAAGCTCAAACAACTCAATAAAACAATTTAATTAAAAAACGAGCAAAAGACATGAGGAGACATTTCTCCACAAACAAAACATAGAAATGGCGATCACGTATATGAAAAAGTACTCGGCATCACTCATCATCAGAGAAATGTAAATTACAATCGCGATGAGTTTTCATCTCATCCCATTAAAATGCCTTTTAGGCCGGTGGCTCACGCCTGTAATTCCGGCACTTCAGGAAGCGGAGGTGGGCGGATCACCTGAGGTCGGGAGACCAGCCTGACCATCATGGAGAAACTCCCTCTCTACTAAACATACAAAAATTAGCTAGGCGTGGTGGCACACGCCTGTAATCCCAGCTACTTTGGAGGCTGAGGCAGGAGAATCAGTTGAACGCGGGAGGCGGAGGTTGCAGTGAGCTGAGATCACACCCTTGCACTCCAGCCTGGGCGACTATGAGTGAAACTCCATCTCAACATAAATAAATAAATAAAATAAAGTAAAGTAAAATGGCTTTTATCTGCAAGACAGGCAAAACAAATGCTGGCAAGATGGTAGAGAAAGGAGAACCCTGGTACCCTGTTGGTAGGAATGTAAATTAGTACAACTATTATGGAGAAAAGTATGGAAATTCTTTAAAAAACTAAAAGGAGGCTGGGCATAGTGGCTTATGCCTGTAATTTCAGCACTTTGGGAAACCGAGGCAGGCACCTCACTTGAGGTCAGGAGTTTGAGAGCAGCCTGCCCAAAATTGGGATATCCCGTCTGTGCTAAAAAAATACAAAAATTAGCCAGGCATGGTGGCATGCACCTGTAATCACAGCTACTAGGGAGGCTGAGTCAGGACAATCATTTGAACCTAGGAGGCACAGGTTGCAATGAGCCAAGATCTCACCACTTAGACTCCAGCTTGGACTAAGGAGGGAAACTCTTTCTCAAAAAAGAAAAAAAAAAAAAAGAGAACTTTCATAGTATCCAGCAATTTCACTACTGGGTTTATATCCAAAGGAAAGGACATCAGTGTATCGAAGTGATATCTGCACTCATATGACTGTTCCAGCACTGTTCACAGTAGCCAAGATGTGGAGTCAACCTACCTGCCTATCAGTGGGTGAATGGATAGAGAACTGTGGTACACACACACAGTGGAGACTACTCATCCATAGAAACAATAACATCCTGTCATTTGCAGCCACATGGATGGAACTGGAGGTCATTACAAAGATTCCCATTTCTCACCCACATGCAGGAGATAAAAGGTGGATCTCATGAAGGTGGAGAATACAATGGTGGACACCAGAGGCCAGGAAGGGAAGGGTGGAGGGTAACAAAAAAAAGAATATAGATGTATTTATTTATTTAGAAACAGAGTCTCTCTCTGTCTCCCAGGCTGCAGTGCAGTGGCATGATCTCGGCTCAGTGCAACCTCGGCCTCCTGGCTTTAAGTGCTTCTCCTGCCTCAGCCTCCCAAGTAGCTAGGACTACAGGTGCATGCCAGCATGCTCGGCTAATTTTTCTTGTCTGTTTAGTAAAGATGAATTTCCCACATGTTGGCCAGGGTGATCTCGAGTTCCTGATCTTAAATGATCCACCTTCCTTGGCCTCTCAAAGCGCCGAGATTACAACTGTGAACCACCACGCCCAGCATATAAAGGTATTTATGACCACTAGATTTTACTTTTAAAAATGGTAAAGGTGGTAAATTATATAGTTACATTTAACCTCAATAAATATTTTTGAAAATGAAAAGAAAAGGGTGTAGGGGTTGCTGGTGATGATATCTCTCTGTGTGGGTGAGAGGCCATGATGGGCTTCTGGGAAATGGGTAAGATTGAGGGGCTGAGGGAACCTCTGATCTCCCCAAACTAAGCCCAGTCTCCCCTTCTCTGGGTCTGTCCTGACCGCTTTCTCCATCTGCCTGGGTGCCTGGAGCCCTGATCGGAGGCCTCCATGCAGGCCATGAAGGAGGGTTTGGAGGTGCCCTGTCTGCCATCCTGCGCCCTGACTCCGCCCTCACACCTGCTGTGTCTTCTCTCTGCATCTGTCCATGCTTTTCTCCATCATCAGCAGGAAGCTCCTTAGCTAAGGATTTAGGATCATAGGACATGAGAGAGATATGGGCTTTTCTCACCTGTGACAGAAACAAGCAGTGGGTCACTCGGGTCTGACCACTCGTAGGGAGAGTGACGGAAAGAGCCGAAGCATCTGTAGGTCCCTCCGTGGGTGGCAGGGCCCAGAGGGAAATCTGCCTGGAATGTTCTGTTGACCTTGCGCACTGCAGGGAGCCTACGTTCATGGGCTCCCCCCTCCCTGGATAGATGGTACATGTCATAGGAGCTCCGGGAGCTACAGGACAAGGTCACGCTCTCTCCTGCCTGAACCTTGGGGCCCGGCTGGGCTGAGAGAGAAGGTTTCTCATATAGACCTGGAAGGAGAAGAGGCAGTTTCCTCAGGGAGGTTCTTCCTTGTCACAGCTCCCCTCACACCTGAGCTGAGAACTCACTCCCCTGCTCTATGACCTAATGCTCTCTCTCTCTCTCTCACTCTCCACCCCATCTCTCTTCATATCTGTTTCCTCCTTCTACCTTTTCTGTCTCTCTAGGTCTATGACCTCACTTCCCCACCCTGAGGTATGTTTTCCCTTTTTGGATTGTTTTATTCTCTCTGACCCTCCTTGGATTGGTTGACTTGATCTTCCTTTTTCTTTAATTTTGAGTCTCTCACTTTCTGTCTTGTTCATAACTTTCTGCACATTTCTATCTATTATCTATCGATCTATCTATTTATCTATTTTGTGTCTATCTACAAATTATCTATCATCTATATTTATGTATCACTTATCTATCTCTCTATCAATTGTCTATCTGTCTATCTATCCATCAATCATCTATTATCTATATATGTATCATCTATCTCTCTCTCTATTACCTCTCTGTCTGCCTCTCTGTCTCTATTTATGTATCATCTATGTATATATCTATGTGTCTATCATCATCATCGTCATCATCATCATCTCTATGTATCATCTATCAGTCATCATCTATGTATCTATAACCAATCCATTATCTATCATCTACCTATTTATCATCTATCTACGTCTATCTATCCATCTATCATCTCTCTCTCTCCGTCTCCTTGTCTTTCTCTGCCTCTCAGTCTCTCTAGTTCTATTTGGAATCTCTGCAATCCATCCCCACATCTTTATCTTTCTCTGTCTTTGTGTCCCTCCCTCAGGGTTCTGATTTTGGGGCTTTTCTCTCCTCCTTTCCATCATTCTCTCCACTCTGCCCTCTTTTCTTTCTTTTTATGTGTCTGTGAATCTCTTAATCTCCTTCTTCTGGCTCATTTTGTGTGTGTTTATGTCTTTGCTTTTTGGTGTCCCTGATTTTTCTCTGTGTCTCTCAGCGATCCTATCATATGTGGGATTATTTGGAATATGAGCCTCAGAATCCAGTCTGGGGACCCCAAGTTCACACAGCATACAGGGGTTGGTGTTCTGGGGCCATGATATCCTGGGATGATTACTCTCCATTGCATGGAAGGCAGAGGTGTCAGAATAAACACGGCATCTGTAGGTGGCACAAGGCCTGAGGCCACAGGGCCCAACTCAGGTCAGAAATATGGGTGTCCTTGGGTTCTTCTGGTAGAAACACTTTGTGGAGGTAAAACAGAAATGAAACTTCTAACCTGTGCCAGGTCTCTGAGCAAAGTCAGCATGGAAGGACACCTCTCTCTGGGACATGTCTGTCTGTCTGAGTGTCTCCTTTACCTCTTTCTCTCTTTTCTACCTCCCTGTATGGCCCCTGTGTCTGTCCCCTGTTATGACACCTGTTCTGTACTTATGTCTCCTGTTTCTCTGTCTCTGTTGGTACAGACCTCACCAAGTCACTCTCTTTCCATAAGAATCCCACACTTATCTTCCTCATGACCACCTGGGGGTTCCAAGTCCTGGATCATTCACTCTGTGTCCCAGTGACAATGAGAACAATGTCTAGACACTCTCACCTGTGACCACGATGTCCAGGGGATCACTGGGAGCTGACAACTGATAGGGGGTGTGAGTAACAGAACCGTAGCATCTGTAGGTCCCTGCAAGGGCACGCATCATGGAACCGATGGAGAAATTGGCCTTGGAGACCCCATCATGGATCTGTCCAACGAGGCGTGAGGGGTCCTTAGAGATCCACTCTTTGTGCAGAAAGAAGTGCTCAAACATGATATCTGACCAACATTGCAGGATGACTCTCTCTCCTGATTTCACCAGGGGACCTGGGTGGGCCAGGAGGGAAGGTTTTCTGTGGTTTCCTAGAAAGAGAAGTTGTGAGTTTAGAAGGCATCTCTCTTTATCATCCCATCCATGGCACCTGGAATGAGTGAGGGTTCCCCTCCCCGTGTCTGTCTCTCTCCTCCCTCTCTGCATCTCCGTGTCTTTTCTGTGCCCATATCCCCTGGTGCAGGTGCCTCCATCTGTCTTCCTCCCTCTTCTCTGTCCCTCTGTCTCCAGTAGCCCCTGACTCCCTTGCCACTGTGAAGACAGCCTCATCTCTTGGGCTGTTGTATCTGTTTCCCACTAATCTCTTTCCTGCTGTTTATATGGGGGTGGAAGAGGACAGGCTGCATGTCCAGGCTCTTAGCAGCCTGAATCAATCTCTTTTGAACAAATTGGAGTCTCTGGCAGGTGGTATCAACTCATCAGTAAGACAGACATCAGTGACCACACACCCTGTTCCTGATGGGGATTGGGAGCCTCTCCTGCCATGTCTGTGCCTTCTCCATGGCCCCAGCTTCCATAGGGTGGCCCCTGGTGCTGGTTCCAGGAGCATCAACCCCTTCCTATGTGGATGGAGCCTGGTGGTAACATCAGCATCCTGCCCTTGCTGATCTCAGGGTAGCCAACCTTCTCCTTGTTTGGTTTCTTTAATTAATTGATTAATTAATTTATTTTTGAGACAGTCACTTTTTCACCCAGGCTGGAGTGTAGTGGTGTTGTCTTGGCTCACTGAAACCTCTGCCTCCCCAGTTCAAGTGATTCTCTTGCCTCAGCCTCCCCAGTCGTTGGATTACTCGCGCCCACCACCACACCTGGCTGTCCTTGTTTGGTTTCCTAACTTGTCCTTGACCTGGGTTCCTAACTTGTCCTTGACCTGGGTTCCTGTGTTGGTTTCCTGTTGCTGCTGCAGAAAATTACCACAAACATGGCAGCAGGAGAGAACACACTGACCCCTTCCACTTCTGGAGACAGAAATTGGATCCAGTTCTCCCTGTGCTGAAATCAAGGCGTCTACAGGGCTGCGTTCCCTCTGGAGAATCAGCGAATCAGTTCTCCTGACTTCTCCAGCCCTTAGAGGCCACCTGCATTCTGTGACTAGTGGTCTTCCTCCACTTTCAAAGCCCGCAGTGGCTGATAGCGTCTCCCTCCCACTACACTGCTCTAATCCCCACTCCCCTCTTCCTCCACCTCTCACGCGGACCCTTGTGATTACACTGAGCCCAGTGGGACAGTCCAGGCTGTCTCCCCATCTCAAGGTCAACTCATCAACAACCTGAGCTCCACCTTCCCCTTCAGTCCCCTGCCCTATAACATAAATAGTCACAGGCTCCAGGGATTACAATGTAGCCATCATTGGGGACAGTTATTCTTCCCACCACAGCACCCATTTGCCCTGTATTCAATCTCCCTTGACCCCAAATACAGCCAGGGCCTGGGTGATGGGACCCTGACGGACAGCCCCACCAGAAGCTCTGGGATTCAGGAGGTGGGACAGTGAGAAGCCCAGACGGAAAGCCTCTGACCTGTGACCATGATCACCATGGGGTTGCTGGGTGCCGACCACCCAGTGGGGGAGTGTGGGTGTGAACCCCGACATGTGTAGTTCCCTGCATGTGCTGTGGTCACAGGGCTCATGTTGAAGCCCTCCTGGAATATTCTGCCATGGAAGATGGGAACGTGGATTCTGTCTTCTTTGTATAGCATGAAATTGTTAAACCTATGACGATAGTGACACCGAAGAGTCACGTGTCCTCCGCGAGGCACCACAGCGCTGGGCCAGGCAGACAGGAAGGGCTTGTCCTGACCACCTGGGGGAGAAGGAGGCACTGCCTTAGAGAGGAGGATGTGGAGCCGCCCCTCACTCCCAGTGCCCAGAAGATTCTCCCCATTTCCACTTTCTAAGGCTCCTACCACACCTGGGTGCCCAGGGCTACAGGAAGGACCCATCCTGCATAGACATGGCGTCTCCCTACAACAAGTGTCAGCTGAGAACTTTGAGCAAGTGCTGGAGAAGCAACTCTTACTAGATTTTAATACTGCAAAATTACTCATATAAAACAATACAAAGTAGACACGGCATGGAGGGCAAGTCCTATGTGAATGGAATATCAGCCAATTGATGAACTGAGCCCCCATCAGAGGATTTGGAATGTCAGGGCCATGGCTGTGGTTTCCTCACCTTTTCTGGTAGAAAGACCGCAGCCACACTGCAGCCCCTACCATCACGGAAACGCTGGAGGGTGTGAGTTACACCTTTGTCCTCAGAGGACCTGCTGTTCCTAGCACTGCTTCCCTCTCTTTCTCTGCTGCTGACACCACTTCCTCCCTGCACACCCATCTTGGAGCACCCTAGTCTCACCCCAGTCTTCACAGAGCTTGACTCAGGAAAGGGAAAGAAAGGCCGGGGAGGGCAAGGTCAGAAATGTGGGCCGAGCATCCGAGGGTCCCCTCTTCCTAGTGTATGAGAGACTCCCCGACAGGACTTCCCTCCCATTTCAGGAAAATCCTCTTATGTGGGGAGATGACACCCTAAGGTTTGGGGAAGGACTCACCCATGTGTGGACCGGCCCTCTGGACCAAGAACAACCCTAGAAAGAAAGATCATGATGGACCATCCATCTGCAGGCAAACCAGGGCACCCTGCTGCCCCCACTGGGTTGTGCGTCTTGGCAGCCAGGCCCTTGCTGGGCTGAAGGTAAACTCACCCTCGCTGCCTACCTGCCCCCAGGAACAAGGATCTCGGCTGTGCAGAGACTCAGCCTCCAGGCCCAGATCTCTACCTCCAGGCCTAGATCTACACAACAGGCCCAGATCTCCACTCCAGGTCCGTATCTCCACTCCAGACCCATATCTCCTCTCCAGGCTGATAAGTCCACTCCAGGCCCATATCTCCACTCCAGGCTCCTATCTCAACTCCAGGCTCATATATCCACTCCAGGCTCATATCTCCACTCCAGGCCCATATTTCCACTCCAGGCTTCTATCTCCTCTCCAGGCCCATATCTCCTTTCCAGGCTTGTATGTCTGCTCCAGGCCCGTATCTCCACCCCAGGCCCATATCTCCACTCCAGGATCATATCTCCACTCCAGGCCCAGATCTCCACTTCATGCCCTTAACTCCACCTCCGGGCCCATAACTCCACCTCTAGGCCCATATCTCCACTCCAGGCCCATATCTCCACTTCAGGCCCATATCTCTACTGCAGGCCCATAACTCCACCTCCAGGCCCATATCTCCACTCCAGGCCCATCGCTCCACTTCTAGGCCCATCACTCCACCTCTAGGCCCACATCTCCCCTCCAGGCCCATATCTCCCCTCCAGGCCCATATCTCCACCCCAGGCACATATCTCCACCCCAGGCCCATATCTCCACTCCAGGCCCAGATCTCCACTCCAGGCACATATCTCCACCCCAGGCCCCTATCTCCACTCCAGGCCCAGATCTCCACTCCAGGCCCAGATCTCCACTTCAGGCCCATAACTCCACCTCCAGGCCCATAACTCCACCTCTAGGCCCATATCTTTACCTCCAGGTCCAGATCTCCATCCCCGCACTCCCTCCCTCGATTCCCTTCCAGGACTCACCAACACACGCCATGCTGACGACCATGAGCAACATGGTGCTGCCGGTGCAGACAGGCGGCTGCGCCCCAGCTCAGCTCAGCAGCGCACAGGATGTTATTTGGCGCCCTGCCCATGCAGTTTACATGTTGACCACATCATGGGAGGGTGACGTACGCAGGCTCTTTCTACCTTGCATGAGGCCCAGTGGGTGCTCGCTCAAGAGCGGAGCATGGCTTCCTGGAAATTGCTCTCACTAGAATTGACACCTCGCGTCCTTCACTATGACCAACTCAAAACACGTCTCAGATCCAACCTCCTGAACACGAGATGCCTAAAATCTGTGCTAACATGAAAGACTTTTCATGTATTTTTATTGCTTTTATCTGAGATTCAAACTCTTCTTCCTGTGTAATATGCAAAATATCTAATAGGTATTATTAAGGTTTTCAGAGCAATTGTGACTAATAAACCATTAGAATTTTTCATGATTGTATTTCTAGTATTACAGCAGAACCAGTTCAAATGATTTAAACTCCCAGGGAAGGATTATGCAATTATTTACAATCTTAGAATTGTACTTTATCAGCAAAAATCACAACATGTAAATTCTGGATTTTTGTAGATTTATCTAGAATTTGTCTCATGTCCCAAGATTCCAGAGTTCCAACTCATGGTTTGCTCTCTCTCTGTCTCTCTGCCTCCCTCATTTTAAATTTTACAGAAATATCCAGTAACATAATGCTATAGAAAATCAATTTCCCCAGCACTTTGGAAGCCGAGGTGAGTGATCAACCGAGGTCAGGAGTTTGAGACCAGCCTGGCCAATATAGTGAAACCATGTCTCTGCTAAAAATACAAAAATTAGCCATGCCTGGTAGCAGGCACTTGTAATGCCAGCTATTCAAGAGGCTGAGGCACGGAATCCCTTGAACCTGGGAGGCAGAAGTTGCAGTGAGCCGAGATCGTGCCACTGCACTCCAGCCTGGGCAACAGAGCGAGACTCTGCCTCAAGAAAAATAAAAAAAGCATAGCAAATAGCCTATAATAAATAACTAGAGGACTCCAGCTACCAAATTTTAGGGGTTGTATAAGGCTGCATAAAATGCAGCATTCTCAAGAGAGTGGACAGAGAGAGAGCCACTGAGCAGAAAACAGTGTCTAAAATACATCCGTGTACACACAGTCCCTTTATAGTTGACAAAGGCTGCCATGTGGTTTAAGGTGGAATAGAATGTCTTCTCAATAAATAACATGGGCCCAAGGGTTACACATGGAGAAAAATATATCTAAAAGTATTCTCACACTATAAAACACTTGTTTATTTTATCTTGTTATTGTAATTTTTTTATGTTTTATATTTAAAATTGAGAAATAAAAATTATATACAGTCATCCCTCATTATTCGTGGGTGATTGGTCTCAGGATCTCCACTCAGATAGCACAATCTGCAGATGCTCAAGCCTCTTACATGAAATGGCACAGCATTTGCAAATAACCCATGCACATCCTCCTGTGTACATGAAATCATCCCTTGATTATTTATAATTCCTGATACAGCCTACACACAGCTTCATTTGTGTCCATTCAACATAGTTTTGCTTTTTGAAACTTTGTGGATTTTTTCTCTGAATATTTTTGATTTATATTTGGTTCAATAAACACCTGTAAATCCCACAGATACAGAGGACCGACTGTATATTTATAGTATGAAAGATGATGTGTTGATATGTGTCCCCGTGGAGATGAGACTAACAAGGCCTATGACTCTACAAATGTTTCATCATGGAATGACTCTGCCAGCTTTCCAGGTCTGCAGAGAGTAAGAATATCACTTGTTCATGTGATTCACGATCCTTGGAACCTCTTATGTGCTGCATCTTTGGATGGAAATTGGAGTCTCAGAGACAAATGAGGCTCCACCCTGCTTCCAGAAGCTCAGAGTCCAGGGGTGAGAACCCAGTGGAGAACAGTTGGAGTTATTTGGACATGGTAATGATAACACTGGAAACTTTCAGCCAAAAAAAGAGTCACCTAAAGAATGAAGGCAGACATGTTTATTTGAAGAGGAGAGAACTACACTGAAATCAAAAAAATTTTATAAGGTTTGCTGATGCCAGAAGGCTGAAAAATAGTCTGAGGAAAGGTGGAACAGCACGAGGGAAGGTGGAACAGCACGTGTCTAAGTGCCGTGTTAAGAGAGAGCCTCTTGTATGTTTGGAATTGTGAGTTCCTCAGTGTGATTGCAGCCTCAAGTAGACTAGGAAGTAAGCCAGTTAGGTTGGAGAGGTGGGCAGGGGTCAAGTGAAATAGAGAATTGTGGGCTAAGCAAAGGAGTGTGTTTTCTCTGCAGCAGGCAGTGGGGACCTTAGACATTGGTAAGCAAGAGACAGGCACCAGATTTGTGGTGTGAGGAAGAGTGATGCTCTAAGATGGAGACTCACGCCTTCAGATTCCAGCTGCTGGTACATTAGAGCTGGCAAGCTGGGTTTGAGACAGGGCTGTTGTCTCCCTAGAAGATCCCATCAAGGCCTGACTGTGGTGCTCATGGGCAGGAGACAACGCTCTGGGCTCAGCATTTGGAAGTTCTATACACACGCTGGTATCTGTTGAGGGTCTCTTGCTCCTCTGAGAAGGGCCAGTGATTTTTCTCTGTGTGAAAATGCAGTGATCCAACTGTGCGTATGTCACCTCCTGAGGGTCTTGTTCATCAGAGTCCTGGAGAGAGGGAAATCCTGAGTGAGGGAGGGTGTTCACATTTTTCAGGACTATTAGGGAATAAGACTGTATCCATGAGGCTGGGCTAGGAGGACCTACCTCCCTGTTCACTGTTCTGTGTCCCGCAGGCTCTTGGTTCATTACAGCAGCATCTGTAGGAGACGGAAGCAATCGAAACAGCTGGGAGGGCACTTCTGGGTCCTCATTTCATGAACAGATACCAACACACAGGGGGAGGCCATAGGTGCCTGAGGTCCCTCAGCTGCCAACAGCCAGACTCAGACATTCCATCTCTCTGAGTGCAAGACCCCATTCCATGAATAGCTGTCAGTTCCCATCCCATTGATTCTATCTCCCACTTTCTGCCTGTCATGGAATCTTCTCCTGGATGTGAGTGGCTGCAGGGGACGTGAGGATACAGTTCACAATCAGGCAATGGTCTGTGAGCTGAAGGCAGGGGCAGGTTGTCTGGTGCTCTCTCTAGAAAGCTCTGCCTCTGGCTCCTGCCTTGGGCCAGAGACTTTCCTGCCAGTGAGGAACACACACCTGCGTGCTCCCATCCTGCTTCCGCACAGGGCCCTGAGTTCTCTGGCCTCTGCTTCGTGAGGCTTACTTTTTTTTTTGGAGCACCAGCGATGAAGGAGAAAGAAGGGAAGGATGGTGAAGAGGATGATGGCCACTGAGTACCTAATCACAGCATGCAGGTGTCTGGCGATACCTGGAGGAAGATGAGAATCCAATAAGAAGCTAACCATAGCAGTTCCTCTTTGTGGATTGTCTCTCATTTCTTGGTTGCCAGGCAACCACATAAAACACCTCTTTAGGACAAGCACCCACGAGGCGGGAGACCCAGCTTTCTCCTGCTTTCTCCGTTATAGTTTTCATAATAACAATAGAATGTGCTGATGATACAACTGCTATTGTTTCAATGTTTGACCCCTCCAAACCCCACTTTGAAATTTAATCCCCAGTGTGGGAGGTTGTGCCTATTGGGAGGGGTGTTTTGGTCATGGGGGTGGATCCATCATGAATAGATTAATGCTGTCCCCAGAGGACGGGGTTAGCAAGTTCTCCCTCTATTAGTACCCTGGAGAGTTGATTCTTAAAAAGAGCTTGGAAGCTCCATCACACCCCCTTTCTCCCTCTCTTGCCATGTGATCTCTGTGGTCTCTGCACACGCAGGACCCCCTTCTCTTCTGTCAGTGTGGGAGCAGCCTGAGGCCGCAGCCAGAAATAGATGGTAGTGTCCTGCTTCTAGTACAGCGTGCAGATCAGTGAGCCAAACACATCTCTTTTCTTTAGAAGATACCCAGGCTCAAGTGTTCTTTTATAGCAACAAAAATAGGCTAAGACAGCAACATCCTGAGATCAGGAGGAACGTCTCAGAACAGCCTGGGCTGTCTTCCTGTTCTTCCTGGAGGAGAACATCATGCAGTGCTTTAGCTGAGTGTTCCCTGTGGCTCCAGGGTACAAAACCCAGGCTGGGCTGCTTTCTGGCTTCCCCCAGCTACAGTGCACATGAAGTGACTCCATGTGTCCTGAGCAGTTTTTCTGAGCCTTGAGGGACTGGCTCACCCTGAAAGGAAGGTTTCTGTTGTCACTCGCTGCTTATCTATAAGTAATGAACCTGCCTATGTAATGTATTCCCTGTGTGTTCTGTCTCCCTGGAGTGATGGTGAGTGATAGAAATTGGCACAGCCCCAGGTGCAGTATGGGAGGTGTTTAGAGTCTTCTCTGGGAAGACTGGACTGGGATTGATACACAGTGAATGTGCTTTACAGTTTCTACATCCACAACCCTCTTGACTCAAACAAATTACATTCTCCAAGAAAAGGAAAAAACAGTGACATTGAAATCAACATAAGTGAGGTTGAGCTGTCTTATATCAAACAGCCAGGAAATAATGATGAAGCTCGTGGGCAACATGCTACTTTTGTCATCTTGGGAGTCAGATATTAGGCTGCTGTTCCACCCGAGAGTCTGGGGGAAAGACCACCCCCTCCATCATCTGTTGCTTCAATACAGCCTGTCTTTCTGTGAATTACTCCAAAAGGTGACCAGGAGATAGTGCTGGCACTGGTCTCTGAGTCTACGATCTGAACTCCAAAGAATATTAGTTTTTACCTCCCCATGATCTATCTGTATCATTAATGTGATTGGAAGTAGGGGTGAGGTGGGGGATTTGGGTGAAGGGGCAAGTTTTGTGCCATGAACAGATCACGTTCTCTATTCCAGGACCTGCGCTGGTGGGTTTCACATTTTCCATATGATCTCATGCTCACAGAAAGCCAAATAAGGAAGATGTTTTCGCCTGATTTTCTTATGGATAGGATAAAGGATCAAAGAAGTCATTATAGAGAAATAGAAAAATGATGATTGGAATTGGTGTGCCTTTGTCATTCGTGTATGTTATATTATATTTATGTATTCTTTATTTTTATTTTTTGCCATGGAGTCTCACTCTGTCACCTAGGGTGCAGTGCAATGACGCGATCTTGGCTCACTGTAACCTCTCCCTCCCTGGTTGAAGCCATTCTCCTTCTTCAACTTCCCGAATAGCTGGTATTACAGGCATGCGCCACCACCCCCAGCTAGTTTTTGTATATTTAGTAGAGATGGGGTTTCACCATGTTGTCCAGGCTGATCTCGAACTCCTGATCTCACTTGATCCAGCCTCCTCAGCCTCCCAAAATGTTGGGTTACAGGTGTGAGCCACCGTTCAGAACCTTGTGTGTTATATTATAATAGGTCTCTTCCTTTGCACCACCCCTCATGTATCTCTCACTCCTCTGCCAAGTATTGATTTACATGTAGGAAAAATAAATCTCAGAAAGAAATCAATGAAGTGAAGATTAAACAATTAGGAAAAATCAAAGCAGGCAAGCCCTCCCTGCAAATTACTCTACCTCACAAACACATCTTGTGTCCATCTTTCATTCATTTAGTGTCTAAATCAGCACCACATTTCACCAGGGGGGCGGGAATTGCCTTTTCCACAGTCTCCTAGATTCCAGTTATGCACCTGGGCCTCCCTTATTTTCATGTCAGTCACTATTCATCATGTAGGGATTCCCAGTTAGCCCCGAGGTAAGTCCAATGGCTGTGAGTGTCAAACACACGCTCCTTGTTCCTCCTTAGTTTCCTGTGTACCCAGAGTGCTCTCTGTCTCTCCACAGTCGTCTTGTCATTCTCCCCATCTCATTCCCAGCATTTCAGGCAGAGCCTCTTCCTTCCACATAACATTGTTTTCACCTTTGTGCCTTCACGGCTGACAGCTGTGTGGAAAATCCTTCCGCCAATCTTCCAGGGGTTGATCTATTTTTTTCATTAAGGTCACAAGTATTATTTGATCAGTGAGAACTTCTCTGTCACCCGAAATTATACACTCAGCATTATCTATTATTTCTTTTAAAATACGGCTCGGCGCCTTGGCTCACGCCTCGAATCTCAGCACTTTGGGAGGCTGAGACGGGCGGATCCCTTAAGGTTGGGAGTTTGAGATAGCCTGGGCAACATGGTAAAACCTTGTCTGTACTAAAAAAAAAATACCAAAAAAAAATTAGCCAGGCGTGGTGGGACATGGGTGTAATCCCAGCCTCTCGGGAAGCTGAGTGTAGAGAATCGCTTTAACCTGGGAGGTGGAGGTTGCGGTGAGCCGAGATCCCGCCACTGCACTCCAGCCTGGGGCACAGAGGGAGACACCGTCTCATAAAAACAACCAATCAATCAATCATTCTCATGCACAGATGCTTCCCAATGGATCATTCATTTATTGGTCCACTGGTGCATTCATTTTCTGCCCTCCCATTTAATCCTTTGCAATATCAGTGTCCAAGAGCAGAGGCCAAATGCACCTTGTTTACCATTTGTGGAAAGGATAAGAATGCCGCCCCACCCCAAAATGTTCCTGTCCTAGTCGCCATATCTTGTGAATATGTTATTTTACATGGAAAAAAGGAATGCAGATTGCAGATGGAATTACGGTTGCTAATCAGCTAACCTTAAAAGGAGGGTATCCTAGATGATTTTAGGGAAATTATGATGGATTATCTTGGTGTTTCCAATAGAATGCCAAAGTCCTTAAAAGATGAGGAAGAAGGCAGAGCAGCATTCAGAGAAAGAGGTGTGGACAAGGAAGAAGGGTCTGAGTGATGCCGTGTGAGAGGCGTGACCAGCCTTTGTGGACTTTGAGGGAGGAAGACGGGGACCAGGAGCCAAGGAATGTGGGAGCCTCTAGGAGCTGGGAAAAGTGAGGAAGCAGATTCTTGCCTGGAACATTCAGAGGGAAGGCAGCCTTGCTGTCACCTTGATTTTAGCCCAGTGAGATGATGCATTTCATACTTCTGAGCTACAGCACCATGAGATATTTTTTTAAAATGTGGTTTCCATCCACGAAGCTTGTGGAAATTTGTTATGGCAACATAGGAAAAGGTTCCACACTGCACAGTCTGAGCATGGGGCAGTGGCTGAACGAGTAAGTGGAAGTGTCATGTGCACGGATGAACTACGTTCTCTCTTACCGCAAAGCTCTTGTTCCACTAAGTCAACCAGGGTTGGATCATGACAGACAGGAGCTCATTCCTTGGCAAGTAGAACTTCTCTACAAATACACCACCCTCAAAAATGTTCCCCGTCCTTCCCCTTCTCAAGCCCCCAGGCATTTGTCCTCCCAGTTAGGAATGCAGGCAGAACAAACACAGCATTTTTCCTGAGAAGAATGTCTGATTTGCACTCATCCTTCTACCCTGAGGTCTCAGCAGCAGAAAATTAGAGATTAAGAGATTTCACTGAGCCCTGTGCTGGGCCCAGATCCCTTTCGCTGTTGGAGTGTCTGGGGTTCAGAGACAATGGAAGACAGGCCCACAATCACAGAGCTGGCAGGTGCTGAGCCAACGCTTGAATCCAAGGCTTCTACCTCCCCAGGTTTCCAAAAGCAGAGATAAGAGGGGTCCTTCACTTACCAGTTTTGAAGCTTGGTTCAGTGGGTGAAGGCCAACTACTAGAAGGGTTTCCTAGAACATGGGACAGGAGAGAGGTGTGGCAATGAGGATGCCTGTCTTCTACTCAATGGAAATCTTTGAGGTTGGTTCATGGCCAACATTCTATTATCTAATGTTGGGCCCTGGGAGTCCTGGCATCCCATTCTCCATAATCATTGTAGGTGACACCAACTATCTTGAGACTTCAAGGTATAAGGAGAAAACAGGAGCATCACACTACCTGACTTAAAAATATGTTACAGAGCTGTAGTAAGCAAAACAACATGACATTGGCATAAAGAAAAGCACATAAAACAATGGAGCAGAATGAAGAACACGGATGTAATCCACCCATTTACATCCAATGGACTTTGACAAAGGTTCGAAGAATCTACAATCTGGAAAGGACAGTCATTTCAATAAATGGTGCAGGGAAAACTGGATATCTACATGCAGAGGGATGAAACTGCACCTCTACCTCTCACCATACACAAAAATCAGATGAAAATGGATTAATGACTTAAGACCTGAATCCATTAAATGTCTAAAAGGAAACACTGGAGAAATGCTCCAGGACATTTGTCTGAGGGAAGACATTTTGTTTAAAACCTCAAAAACACAAGTAATCACAACAACAACAAAAAAATAGACCATTGGGATTATATCAAATCAAGCAGCTTCTGCACCGCAAAGGAAGCAACCAATGAAGTGAAGAAGAGACAACCCACAGAATGGGAGCAAATATTTGCAAACTATGCATCTGAGATGGGATTAATAACTAGAATATAAAAGAAGCTCAAACACCTCAATAAAACTAATAATTTAATTATAAAATTAGTAAAAGACCTGAACAGACATTTCTCAATGAACAAAACATACAAATGAACATATATACATTGCATATATGAAAAAGTGCTCAGTATCACTAATCATCAGAGAAATGCAAATGAAGTCACAATGAGCTATCATCTCACCCCATTACAATGGGTTTTATCTCAGAGACAGACAAAACAAATGTTGGCAAGGTGGTGGAGAAAGGAGAACCCTGATACACTGTTGATAGGAATGTAAATTAATACAGCCATTACAGAGGAGAAGAATATGGAAGTTCCTTAAAAACTAAAAAGAGATTAGGCACTGTGGCTCACGCTTGTAATCCCAGCACCTTGGGAGGCTGAAGTGGGCAGATCACTGGAGGTCAAGAGTTCGAGACCAGCCTGGCTAACATGGTGAAACCCCGTCTCTACTAAAAATACAAAAATCAGCCAGGCGTGGTGGCGGGCACCAGTAATCCCAACTACTCGGGAGGCTGAGGCTGGAGAATCACTTGAATCCTGGAGGTAGAGGTTGCAGTGAGCCCAGGTGGTGCCATTGCACTCCAGCTTGGGCAACAAGAGTGAAACGCTATGTCAAAAAAACAAAAAGCATAAAACAAAACCTAAAAAGAGAACATCCAGAGGATCTAGCAATTCCACTAGTGGGTGTAAATGCAAAGAAAAGGACTTCAGTGTATTGAAGTGACATCTGCACTCCCATGACTGTTCCAGCACTGTTCACAGTAGCCAAGATGTGGAGTCAACCTACCTGCCCATCAGTGGATGAATGGATAGAGAGAATGTAGTACATACACACAATGGAGACAACTCATCCATACAAAGAGAAACGTCCTGTCATTTGCAGCCACATGGATGGACTGGAGGTCATTACAAGGATTGCCATTTCTTACTCACATGCAGGATGTAAAAGGTGGACCTCATGAAGGTAGAGAGTAGAATGGTGGATACCAGAGGTTAGGAAGGAAGGGGTGGAGGGTAACAAAAGAAGAATATAAAAGTATTTATTTATTTATTTAGAGACAGAGTCTCTCTGTGTCACCAGGCTGCAGTGCAGTGGCATGATCTCAGCTCACTGCAACCTCCTCCTCCTGGGTTTAAGCCACTCTCCCGCCTCAGCCTCCCAAGTTGCTGGGATTATAGGCGCCTGGCACCATGCCTGGCTAATTTTATTTTTTTTGTCTTTTTAGTAAAGATTGGTTCCCCCATGTTGGCCGGGCTGGTCTCCAGCCCCTGATTTTAAATGATCCACCTGCCTTGGCGTCTCAAAATGCTGAGATTACAGGCGTGAGCCACCGCACACAGCATATAAAGGTATTTATGATCCCTAGATTTTACACTTAAAAATGGTAAAGTTGATAAATTATATAGGTATATTTAACCTCAATCAGCATTTTTTCAAAGGAAAAGAAAAAGTGTAGGGGTTGCTGGTGATGACATCTCTGTGTAGGTGAGAGGCCAGGGTGGGCTTCTGGGAAATGGGTAAGGTTGAGGGGCTGAGGGAACCTCTGATCTCCCCAAACTGAGCCCAGTCTCCCTCCTCTGGGTCTGTCCTGACCACTTTCTCCATCTGCCTGGGTACCCGGAGCCCTTACTGCAAGCTTCCATGCAGGCCATGCAGGAGGGTTTGGAGGTGCCCTGTCTGCCATCCTGTGCCCTGATCCCACCCTCACACCATGCTGCATCTTCTCTCCACATCTGTCCATGCTTCTCTCCATCATCAGCAGGAAGCTCCTCAGCTAAGGCTCTAGGACCATAGGACATGGGACAGACATTGGCTTTCCTCACCTGTGACAGAAACAGGCAGTGGGTCACTCGGGTCTGACCACTCGTAGGGAGATCCATGGAAAGAGCCGAAGCATCTGTAGGTCTCTCCGTGGGTGGCAGGACCCAGAGGGAAGTCGGCCTGGAATGTTCCATTGATGCTGGGCACTGCAGGGAGCCTAAGTTCATGGGCTTCCCCCTCCCTGGATAGATGGTAGATGTCAAAGGAGCTCTGGGAGCTGCAGGACAAGGTCACGTTCTCTCCTGCGCGAACCGTGGGGCCCGGCCGGGCTGTAAGCGAAGGTTTCTCATATAGACCTGGAAGGAGAAGAGGCAGTTTCCTCAGGGAGGTTCTTCCTTGTCACAGCTCCCCTCCCACCTGAGCTGAGAACTCACTGCCCTGCTCTATGGCCTAGTGCTCTCTCTCTCTCTCTCTCTCTCACCCTCCACCCCCAACTCTTCCTGTCGATCCCTCCCTATGTGGTTCCAGCCTGGTGGTGGCATCAGCAGTGCACCCTTGCTGATCTCAGGGTAGCCAACCTTCTTGTTTGGTTTTTTAACTTGTCCTTCACCTGGGTTCCTGTGTTGGTTTCCTGATGTTGCTGGAGAAAATTATCACAAACATGGCGGCAGGAGAGAACACACTGACCCCTTCCACTTCTGGAGACAGAAATCAGACCCTGTTCTTCCTGGGCTACAATCAAGGCATCTGCAGGGCTGCATTCCCTCTGGAGACTCGGGAGAATCAGTTCCATTGATTTCTCCAGCCCCTTCGTGGCTCGTGGTCTTCCTCCACCTTCAAAGCCCACAGTGGCTGGTGGAGTATCCCACGATGCTGCTCTAATCCCCATTCTCCTCTTCCTTCTCCACTCATATGGACCCTTGTGATTACACTGAGCCCAGTGGGAGGGTCCAGGCCATCTCCCCATCTCAAGGTCAACTCATCAACAACCTGAGCTCCATCTTCCCCTTCAGTCCCCTGCCCTATAACATAGTCACAGGCTCCAAGGATTACAATGTGGCCATCGATGGGGACAGTTATTCTTTCCAACACAGCACCCATTCCCCTGTATTCAATCCCCCTTTACCCCAAATATAGTTGGGGCCTGGATGATCGGACTCTGGTGGACACCCCCACCAGAAGCTCTGGGACTCAGGAGGTGGGACAAGGAGAAGCCCAGACAGGAGCCCTCTGACCTGTGACCATGATCACCAGGGGGTTGCTGGGTGCCGACCACTCAGTGGGGGAGTGCGGGTGAAAACCTCGACATCTGTAGGTCCCTGCGTGTGCTGGGGTCACAGGGCTAATGAGGAAACTGTTCCAGAATATTCTGTTGTAGAGCTCAGGGACAGGGACCCCATCTTTCTTGTACAGCGTGAAGATGTTAAACCCACGACGACAGTGACACCGAAGAGTCACGTGTCCTCCTTGAGGCACCACAGCGCTGGGCCAGGCAGAGCAGAAGGGCTTGTCCTGACCACCTTGGGGAGAAGGAGATGCCGCCTCAGAGAGGAGTATGTTGAGCTGCCCCTCCCTCCCTGTGCTCAGAAGATTCTCCCCATTTCTTCTTTCTAAGGCTCCTACCACACCTGGGTGCCTGGGGCTACAGGAAGGACCCATCCCGCATAGACGTGGCGTCTCCCTACAACAAAAGTGTCAGTTGAGAACTGAGCAGGTGCTGAGTAAGGGACTCTTACTAGATTTTAATACTGCAAGATTAGTTACACCAAACAACACAAAGTAGACATGGGGTGGAGGGTATGACCTTTGTGAATGGAATATTAGCTAATGCCTGAACCACAATAAACAACTGAGCTCCATCAGAGGATTTGGAATGGCAGGGTCGTGGCTGTGGTTCCCCCACCTCTTCTGGCAGAATGACAGCAGCCACACTGCAGCCCCTACCGTCATGGAAACGCTGGAGGGTGTGAGTTACCCTCTTGTCCTCAGAGGACCTGCTGTTCCTAACACTGCTACCCTTCCCTCCTCTGTCGGTGACACCACATCCCCCCACACACCCCAGCTTTGAGCACCTCAGTATCCCGCCTGGGCCACACAGAGCTCAACTCAGCCATGGGGAAGAAAGGCTGGGGAGGGCTAAGACAAAACAGAAGGCTGAGCATACCAGGATCTCCTCTTACTAGTTCATGAGAGACTCCCAGGATCTCCTCTTACTAGTTCATGAGAGACTCCCAGGATCTCCTCTTACTAGTTCATGAGAGACTCCCCCCAGGCCTTCCCATGGTCAGCCCATCAGCCCACCCTCTGTGCTGCCTCCCTCCCATTTCCGGAAAATTCACTTGTATTGGGGTGAAGATGGCAACCCATCATTTGGGGAAGGACTCACCCACGTGTGCCCACACACTCTGGTCCAAGAAGAACCCTGCAAAGAAAGATCATGAGGAACTATTCATCTCGGCAGCAACCTACCCTTTCCTCCTGAGCCACTGGGCGCCACGCTGGACTGAAAATTAACTCATCCTCACCACTCACTTGCTTCAGAACATGGCTCTCTGCTGGGGAGACACCCAATCTGCAGGCCCATAGTGTAACCCTGGTGCTCCTTCCCTTCCAGGACTCACCAAGACATGCCAGGATGATGACCGTGGGTGACATGGACATGGTGCAGCTTCTGCTGCCAGGACGCAGTGACTCGGCTCGACTGACCGGTGCAGAGGATGTGGTGAGGGGCCCGGATCGTGCAGTTGACACATTGACCACAACATGTGAAGGGGACATAGGTAGGCTTCTTCTACGTCATATGAGGTTCAAGTGGTGAATCAGTCAAGGGAGGAATGAGGGTTTCTGAAAACTGCAGACTAGACTTGTCACTTCACATCATGCGCAACGGCCAGGCTCAAAACACATCTCAGACTCACTTACCCCTGCACGGGACGATTGAATTCTGCACTCACATGAGGAACTTTTGATGTATTTTTTTTTGTTTCTACCTGAGATTCAAACTCTCCTTGATATGTAATATGCAAAATACCTAATAGGTTTTATTAACACTATAGAGCAATCGTATTAAATAAATCATCATAATTTTCCATGGTTGTATTTTTCCTGTTAAGCCAGAAACAGATAAAATGATTTAAATCCCAGTAGAAAAGACTATATAGTTATTTCGCATCATAGAATTCCACCTTATTAGCAAAAACACAATATGTCAATTGAAGGTCTGGTCGTGTTATCTAGAATTTGTCTTATGACACAAGAGTCCAAATTCACAGTTCCCTGTCTCCCTTTTTGTCTCTCTGTAACGTGTGCTTTTTTTCTCCCTGTGTTGTTTGTGTGTCTTTCTTTCTCTCTCTCATTTGAGGAAAAAATATCAGACTGATAACATCCTCCAACTTGATACTGGAATATTGCAATAACTGAAGGTTGAAATCTACACATTTAATGTGCTGTCATTCTTACAAATGTCTCTTATTTACACCTACCTTTCTGGAGTTTGTAAGAACTTTTTCACTATGCATTTTAAATTTGTAAAACTCATAATTTTTAAAAAGGGATGGGTCTCACTGTTTGCCCAGGGTGGCCTTTACTCATTCTATAAGGCTGGCATCACCCTGATACTAAAGACAGAAAAGAACATTAAACAAAAGAAAACTACATGCCAATATTCCTGATGAACATAGAGGCAAAAATCCACAAAAAATACTAAGAACTGAATCCCGCAGCATATCAAAAAGTGAATCCACCATGATCAAGTCAACTTTATTCTTAGGGTGCAAGGTTGGTTGAACATACACAATCAATACATGTGATTCATCACCTAAACAAAACTAAAAACAAAAACCACATGATCTTCTCAACACACATGTAGAACATACTTTTTACTAAGCATTTCTTCATGTTAAAAGCCCTCAACAAGCTAAGCATTGAAGAAACATAACTCAATATAATAAGAGCCGCCTGTGACAAACCCACAACCAACATCATACTGAATGAGTAAAAGCTGGAAGAAGTTCCCTTCATAAGTGAAACAAGACAAGAATGCCCACTCTCACCATCCTATTCAACATAGTACTTGAAGTCCTAGACAGAGCCATCAGGAAAGAGAAAGAATTATAAGGCATCCAAGTAAGAAGAGAGTAGCAGAGAGAGGTAGTCAAATTACCTCTGTTTGAAGATGAGATAATTTCTATACCTAGAAACCCCATAGTCTCTGCCCAAAGGCTCCTACATCTGAGAAACAAACTTCAGCACAGTTTAAGGGCAGAAAGTCAATGTACAGGCTGGGTGTGGTGTCTCAGCCTGAAATCTAGCACTTTGGGAGGGCGAAGCGGGTGGATCACCTGAGGTCTGGAGTTCGAGACCAGCCTGGCCAACATGGCGAAACCCTGTCTCTACTAGAAACACAAATATAGCCGGACGGGGTGGTACGCAACTGTAGTCCCAGCTGCTTGGGAGGCTGAGTCAGGAGAACCGCTTGAACCTGGGAGGCAGAGGTTGCAGTGAGCGGAGATCACGCCATTGCACCTCAGCTTGGGCAACAACAGTGAAACTGCATCTCAAAAAAAAAACCAAAACAAATTTAATTAATGAGGAAAAGGGTATTTGTGGTGTCCATCATGATGTTTTCATATAGGTACACATTGTGGAATGGATGAAACAACCTCTTTATCATATTTATTTTTTCACATACTTGTATGTTTTGTGTGTGTGGTGAGAACATGTAAAATCTAATCTCTTAGTAATGTTCAATACACCATATGTTGCTATTAACTGGAGTCACCAAGACATACAATAGATCTCTTGAACCGATTTCTTCTAACTGAAATTTTGCATCCTTTGACCAACATCTCTTCAATCTCTCTCCATCCCAGGTTCTTTCGACGACCATTTTACTGTTCCTCTAGGTTCCACTTCTTACACTCCACACATGAGATCATGTGGCATTTGTCTTTCTGTGCCTGGATTGTTTCCCTTAACATAATGTCCTCTAAGTTTTTTCACATTGTCACAAATGAGAGGACTTCCTTCTTTGTTGTAAAGGTTGTATAGTACTTCATTACGTTCCTATCGTATACCACGTTTTCTTTGTCCATGCACCCATAGATGGGCAGTAAGGGTGATTCCACATCTTGGCTGTTATGAATAATGCGGCTGTAAACATGGGAATGCAGATATCTCTTCAACATACTGATTCCACTTCCTTTGGATACATGCGCAGTAGTTGGATTGCAGACACATATGGGAATTCTATGTTTAATTTTTTCAGGAACTTCCAGACTGTTTTCCATAATGGTTGTGCTAATTTACATTCCCATCAACTGCATACAAATGTTCCCTTTTCTCCACATCCTCGTTAACCCTTGTTATTTTTTATGTTTTTGATAATGGTCTTTTTTTTTTTTTTTTTTTGAGACTCAGTCTTGCTCTGTCACCCAGGCTGGAGTGCAGTGGCACAATCTCGGTGTACTGCAACCTCTGCCTCCTGGGTTCAAGCGATTCCCCTGCCTCAGTCTCCAGAGTAGCTGGGACTACAAGTGTGCGCCACCAAACTCTGCTAATTTTTGTATTTTTAGTAGGGATGGGGTTTCACCATATTGGCCAGGCTGGTTTCGAACTGCTGACCTCAGGTAATCTCCCTGCCTCGGCCTCCCAAAGTGCCTGAATTACAGGCATGAGCCACCATGCCCAGACTGTTAATGGTCATTCTAAGAGGTGTGAGGTGATATCTCATTCTAGTTTTAATTTTTATTTAGCTGATGTTTAGTAATGCTAATCATTTTTTCATATACCTTTTGGTGATTTGTCTTATTCTTAGAAATGTTTATTCAGATACTTTGCCCATTTTTTTAAGTTGGGTTATTTGATTTCTTACCATTGAGTTGTTTGAGTTTCTTATATATTTTGGATATTAATTCCTTATTAGATGTATGGGTGCAAATATATTCTCCCATTCCATAGGTTGTCTTTCCACTTGTTGAGTTTTTTTTTTCTTTGCAGAAACTTTCAATTTGATATAATGTTATTTGTCTACTTTTGCTTTTGTTGCCTGGGCCTTTGGGTTAATATCCAAAATGGTTTTGCCCAAGCCAGTGGAGTTTTCCCTTGATTTCTTTTAGTAGTTTTTTTTTTTTTTTTAAGATGGAGTCTCACTGTGTTGCCCCGGCTGGAGTGCAGTGGTGCGATCTCGGCTCACTGCAACCTCTACCTCCTGGGTTCAAGTGATTCTCCTGTCTCAACCTCCCGAGTAGCTGAGATTACAGGCACCCACAACCACACCCAGCTGTTTTTGTATTTTTAGTAGAGGCGGGATTTCACCATGTTGGCCATGCTGGTCTTGGAATCCTGACCTTAGGTGATCTGCCCACCTTGGCCTCCCAAATTGCTGGGATTATAGTCTTTCATCTTACATTTAAGTCATTAATCTATCTTGAGTTGACTTTGTATGTTTTGTGAGGCAAATGTCCACTTCCATTCTTCTGCATGTGGACATGCAGTCTCCCAATCCCATTTATTAAAGAGACTGTTCCTTCTCCATTGTGTGTTCTTGACACATCCCAAAAATTGTTTGACCCTAAATGCATGCATTTTTTTCCTGGGCTATGAATCACTTCCATTGGTCTATGTGTCTGTTTTTATGCAAGTACTGTGTTGTTTTAATTACTGTAATTTTGTAATGTAGTTTGTGTTTAGGTAATGTGATGCTTCCAACTTTGTTCCTTTCCCTCTAGATGGCTTTGGTTATTTGAGATCTTTTGTGGTTCCACATGAATTTTAGGACTGTTTTTTCTATTTCTGTAAAAAAAATGTCATTGGATTTTTGATAATGGTTGCATTGAATCACTTTGGATAGAATGGACATTTTAACAACATTAATCCTTCTGATCCGTGAACATGGAATATCTTTCGATTTATTTGTTTATTTCTTGAGTTTTTTCATCAATGTTTTATAGCTTTTGCATACAGATCTTTCTACTCCTTGGGTGAATTTATTCCTGCATGTTTTGTTTTCTGTAGTTATTGCAAATGGGCTTATTTTCTTGTAAACTTTTTTGGATAGTTTGTTGTTAATGTATAGAAACTTTGTTGTTGTTGTTGTTGTTGTTTTGATGATACCCATCCTAAGGGGTATGAAATGGCATCTGGTGTAGTTTTAGTTAGTATTTCCCTAATGATTCGTGATGCTGAATATCTTTTCATGCGTATGTTCTTTGGAGAAATGTCTGTTTCAGTACTTTGCCCATTTTTGAATTGAGTTTATTGTGATTGAGTTTTAGGAGTTGTCTGTATATTCTGGATGTTAATCCCTTACAGGTGGTGTGGTTTGAAAACATTTTCTCCCATTCTGTGGGTTGTCTTTTTACTTTGATAATATCGTCTTAAAAGTTCTTTTTCCTTGCCATGTGAAGTAACTGATGTTGTCTTTTGAGTCACAATATTTCAAAATTTTCATAAAGTCTAACTTGTTTATTTTTTCTGTAGTAGCCTGTGCCGTTGTTGTCACATCTAAAGAATCACTGCCAAATCCGATGTTGTGAAGTTTTCCTTTGTGTTTTCTTCTAAGACTTTAATTAAATTTTATTTGTCAATATTTAGGACTGACAAAAGCTTTTTAACATTCCTGGCACCATCTCAGTTATTGATCTACTCCCAAGATGGATCATTTCAATTAAAACATGTAAAGCATGACCTCACCTGAATGTGTTTGAACTTGCTCTTCTCCCTTTCAAATCGACTCCCTCACTTACATAGTTTGTGTTCAAATGTCAACAAATAAAACATAAAAAGAAATCAATCTTTTCATAGACCCTTTATCTAAAATAGAATAGTAGGTGCCATGACATTTCATCCTTTCATCTTGAATTATTTACTTTTCTACATGAACCAATCCATTCTTCTGTGTGCATGTGTGTGTGTGTGTGTGTGTGTAGTTTATCTGTCTACATATAATGTAAACACCAAAAAATAACAGACATTTAGTAATTTTCAAATGAGACTTCAGGAATTAACAATGGCTTGCCATTTTTAGTGTGTTATTATTATTATATTTAGATGAACAGAATTGCCTCAGGAACATGGCCAGGGGCTCATAGTCCAGGAGAACTGTGGCCTGACTCAGGTACATTTTACCTGCAATAACAGCAATTGCAGGTCACTGGAGTCCATCACAATTGGCTGGAGACAAATGTAAGACAAGAATATTTGCAGTTTCCCCAGACTGACACAGTTGCAGGTTCCCCGAAGTAATGAGTCCTGAGACACCTCCAACAAGAGCTAGAAAAGGTATCACTTCAAGAGGAGTTGCAGCCTACTCATTTTAGACAAATGGAGCAAAATTACAGTATCACATCTTTTCCTTTCTCCTTCATAGAATCTGGATGAACAGAACAGAAAGAGTTAATGGAATATAAGATTCCAATTCTCTGGCATGAGAAAATAGACAAGGAAAGGAAGATTCATCTTCATCACATCTCAGACATGCTTGGACACAGGGTCCAAGCACAAAAGAGAAACACATACTTCTTCCCATCCACACTGGGATCCAGGGTCTTCTCCCTCCTGTCAGGCCAGAACTGAGTCTCCACTCCCCAATTTAGTTCCCAGAGATGAAGCCCAATTTTCCTCTGTCTCAAGCTTTGAAGGCCAGCTTTAGCGTGTTCACCATGGATGAATGAAGGTGAGGTCAGAGGTTTGGGAAATGGTCAAGAATGAGGTGAGAAGAGAGCTGTGGAGGCATGGCCCCGGGGAGCTTGGTACCCCCCCATATCCAGAGCCTGTCTGGTCCAGGAGAGTTCCCAACCCTGTGAGCACCAACTCCGGATATTCTGGGCAGTGACCCGAGGGACAGCCTCTTATGAATACAGGCTGTTTTCCTCCAGTGTCTGCTGTGAAACCAGGATGTACAACATGGCCGTGTTCAACCCAACAATGGACTTAGGATTTTGCTGTACGCCAAAACTCAGTGTCCAACTTCCACTCTGTTTAGCTGGAAAAAGAAGGGGTTTGTTCCCATACATCTCACTCCTGTGTTCCTCTTTCAGTCTCAAAGCTCAGATGAAAACAATGAGTGTCACTTATTGTCAATCCTCTTCCCTGCCTTTTCCACACTCATCAGTATTACCGTTTACATTGAGACTAAAGATGGCCAATCACCACTTTTCTTCGGAAAAATCAACCTGATGTTGTACCTACTTTTTTAGAGGTGGAATCAACCTACCCTAAGATGCCAACTACATTTTACTGAATGGACTTTTGTGGATCCCCTCGATGTATATAGTGGCACCTTGAGGTATCATCCCTGTCTTTAGCAAATGAATATTATCCCAAGGACAATATTTCATCACAATTATTCGGGATGGACGAGTGGATATTGTGGTAGCAAGAACATTACTAAAAGTCACAGCTGATACAACACACTTGAAACCCATCTGGCCAATCTCCCACAGACAGAATGTCGCGCCATTCACTCCAGCCAGCTTCAGTCATGTTTCTTCCATTTCCACCTGTGGCCCCTCATGTCTCCACCAGGTCTTAGCCAGCATTGCCAAAAGAGCCAGGAAGACCAGACCAGCCACAACAATCCTGATGGAACTCTCCACAGTATAGTTCTGGAGAACAGGGGCTGGAGGGTGGGGGTAAGATCAGAGACCTTTCCATGTGGGCCAGGCCCCTCTCTCCCCAGAAGCTCTGAAATGGAGCTATTTCCCCATCTCACCTTCATAAAATTCTTCCTGTCCAGAACCCCTCTTCTCCCTATATCATCATGAGCACCTTCAGAAGTCTTTTGCCACAAAAAGAAATTTCTTTTGAAGATATACATTTTTTTGTACATTTCAAAAATGTTCCCAAACTAATTCTCCAAAGCAATAAATGTTTGTGTGTATTGCTGGGTAGGTTATGCATACAAGGAAAGGAAGCATAGTGAGTCTGATTTGGCAGAGGAAACATATGTGGAAATTATATCATTTACTCTCTTTACAAAATTAAGTACAAAATTGAAAACACTGGTAAGAAAGAATGAGCTATAGAGAAAGAAAACATCTGAGATGCTTGTTTCCAAGATGGCTGACTAAATGCTTTTCTGGCATGTCTCATCCACTTAGAAGAACGAGCAGAATCCAGAACAAAAACCATATGATCATCTCAATAGACATAAAGAAAAGCATCTGAAAAGAAATTCAACATCCTTACCTGATGAAAACCCTCAAAAACTTAGGCATAGAAAGAACATACCTCAAAATAATAAAAGCCATAGATGACATATCTAGAGTCAACATCATACTGAACAGGAAAAGTTAAAAGCACTCCTCTGAGAACTGGCACAAGACAAGGACACGGACATCCACCACTTCCTATCAACATAGTACTGGAAGCCTTGTCAGAGCTATTGGGCAACAGGAAGAAGTAAAAATCCAAATTAGAAAAGAGGAAGTAAAATTATTTTTATTTCTGATGCTATGATCTTAAATCTAGAAAATCCTAAAGACCCTGCCAAAAATTCTTATGATTGATAAATGAACTAAGTAAAGTTTCAGAATACAAAATCAATATGTAAAAGCCGGTAGCATTTCTCTACACCTATAATGATCTAGCTGAGAACCAAATCAAGAAGGCAATGCCGTTTACAATAGATACGCAAAATTAAAACACTCAGGAATACATTTAACCAAGGTGGTGAAAGATCTGTACCAGGAAAGGTGTAAGACACCAATGAAAGCAATTATAGATAATACAAAAAAAAAAAGAAAAAAAATCCCACGCTCATGGATCATAAGAATTAATATTGTTAAAATGACCATACTGCCTAAAGCAATCTACAGATTCAGTGCAATTCTTATATGAAAATAGTAACACCAGTTTTCACAGAATTAGAAAAAGCAATCCTAAAATTCATACAGAACCAAAAAAGATCCTAATAGAGAAAGCAATTCTAGGTGAATGTAGAAACCTGGAGGCATCACGCTATCTGACTTCAAACTATGCTCTAAGGCTATAGTAACTTAAATAGCACAGTGCTGGTATAGACACAGAAACAGAGATCAATAGACCAGAATAGAGAGCCCAGAAATACAGCCTCATATCTACAGTGAATAATCATTGACGACGTTAACAAAACATACCCTGGAGAAAGATTTCCTTTTCAATAAAAGGTGCTGGGAAAACTAAATAGCCATATGCAGAAGAATAAAACTGGACCTGTATCTGTAATCATACACATAAATTAACTTAAGGTAATTAGCAGCTTAAATGTAAATCCAGAACTATAAAATCACCGGTGGAAACCCAAAGAGAAACTCTTCTGGGCATTGGTCTGGGCAAAGAATTCATCACTAAGACCTCAAAAGCACAGGCAATAAAAATAAAACTAGACCAATGGGACTTAATAAACGAAAGAGCTTCTGCCAAGCAAAGGAAATAGTAGCAGGGTGAACAGACAACCCACAGAATGAATGGAAATGTTTGCAAACTATGCACCCAACAGGGGACTAACATCCAGAATTTCTAGGCAACTCAAACAACTAAACATAACCCCTCAAATAATAGCATTAAAAAGTGGGCAAAGGGATATACATAGACATTTTTCAAAAGAAGACATACGAATGGCCAAACAGCGTATGAACATCACTAATCATCAGAGAAATGCAAATTGAAACCACAATGAGATATCATCTTACAGTAGTCAGAATGGCTATTACTAAAAATGCTGGTGGGGAGTGGTGGCTCACGCTTGTAATCCCAGCACTTTGGGAAGCTGAGGCGGGTGGATCATGAGGTCAGGAGTTTGAGACCAGCCTGACCAACATAGTGAAACCCCATCTCTACTAAATATACAAAAGATTAGCTGGGCATGGTGGTGTGGTTCTGTAATCCCAGCTACTCAGGAGGTTGAGGCAGGAGAATCATTTGAACCTGGTTGGTGGAGGTTGCAGCGCGTGGAGATGGCGGCACTGCACTCCAGCCTGGGTGACAGTGGAAGACTCCATCTCAAAAAGAAAAAAAGAAAAAGTGAAACATATAACAGGTGTTGGCAAGGATGCAGAGAAAAGGAAACTCTTATACACTGTTGGCCGGTATGTAAATTAGTATAGCCTCTATGGAAGACAGTATGGAAATTTGGCAGAGAACCAAAAATAGAAGCACCATTCGATCTAGGGGTCCCGCTGCTGGGTATCTACTCAAAAAATATCTGCACCTGTATGTTTATTGCAGCACTGTTTGCAATAGCAAAGATATGAAATCAATCTAAGTGTCTGTGAATGAATGATTGGATTAAAAAAAGGATGCGTGTATACACAACGAAATACTATTTGGTCATAAAAATAAAACCATGTCTTTTGCAGCAACATAGATGGAGCTGGACGCCATTATTTTACATAAAACCACTCAGAAAGACAAATACCACATCTTCTCACTCTACATGGGAGGGGAGTAATGTGTACATATGGACGTAGAGTGTGGAATGACGGACAGCGGAGGCTAGAAGGCTGGAGGGTGGCGGGACGTGGGTGAGTGATGAGAATTTGCTTAATGAGTACAATGTACGGTATTTGGGTGATGGATATAGTAAAAGTCCTGACTTCACTACTCTGCAACATACTCATGTCACAAAATTACAAGTGTACCTCATAAATTTATACTAATAGAAAAGAAAGTCTGTACACAGTAATCAATTGTGATATGTAGATAAAGTCAATATTAAATTTAAACCAGAATAACTAGTTAAAATGTTGTGTACACAACAGTGAAGAGAGTATTTATCCTCTATGACAGAGGAAACCATCAATATTAATGCACAGAAAAAGCAAATAACTGAAACAAGAAAGAGCAGTTTTGTGACAGGGTAAAAATTGACAACAGTTTTAGAATGCTCCTAACTTGAGTTCCAAAAAGAAAGAACGAGAAAACAGGTCAGAAGCAATCTTTAAAGAGGCAATTGTTGATTATTTGGAGGAAGTAGACACATCCATCAATCCACAGGTTCAAGAAATCCAGTGAATGCCAGGCAGAATGAAGTAAACACACCTCACGTTCAACATTACAGAAAAGCAGCATAAAAGCACAACCAACCCTTAAAATTAGCCAGAGGAAAAGGATCAGCTGGTAAGGATTTATAGGGAGCCAAGCATTGTCTTCCCCACAGAAAAAAGGAAAACATAAGCCAGTAGAATAGCATCTTTACCCAGCTAAGATACCGTCGCCAGCCACCGACAATTCCTTACATAGTACAGTTACTGTCCAAGATCAACGCAGGAAAGAAACAGAACTGAAAGACAAAAGGGCAAAGAAAGCTTTTCTCACTGACCCTAAAGGAAATTCTGATGACCGTGCCTCAAA
The DNA here is from genome assembly GCF_000001405.40 of Homo sapiens. Classification (NCBI taxonomy): domain Eukaryota; kingdom Metazoa; phylum Chordata; class Mammalia; order Primates; family Hominidae; genus Homo; species Homo sapiens. Next base: position 109,770 of record NT_187636.1, read on the forward strand.
GATAAAGAAAGTGAAACCAGATGGGGTGTCGAAGATTCTGACAATAACTAAGAGCAGAGGAAGAACTAAAAATATGGCTATGCCAAAAATGAATATGGACCATACGATAGTGTATGAAAACATGCCCCTGTGTAATTTCTGAAAAAGATAGAATTATGTATACCACAAAACAAAACATCATATAAGTAAATACAAACATATGTACTAAATATGCTCTAAAATCCTGTTCTTACACAGGAAGAGTGGAAATATGTTTTTATATTTGCAGTTTAATCTCTGAAATGATTAATTTCAATTTTAAAAATATGTAACAACTTCAGGATGAGTACACCATATATGTATTCCTAAACGACATAGATCAAAAATAGAATGTTTGAAATAGAAAACCACAGAAGTCAGTGGGAAAAAAAGGGAATCAGGAAAACACAACGTAATAATAACAAAAATATGATTGGAAGAACTGCTCAAACATGAACAAAAGATTGTCAGAAAGTCTTACTTTCTAAGGCGAATTGTTTGAAATTTACAAAGGACACATCTCAATGTTAACAATTCATGGAGTTTGAAATTAAACAATGTAGAAATATACCAAGCAATCACTGTTAGAAATGTGGTATAACTATATTAAAATTAGACAAAATTAGTCTTTGGGAAAAATCAGCGGAAAACATTAAGCATAAAATGTAGGAAAAAAGCAGGTAAATTTATAGCATTTTAAATTTACCAGGAATATATAATCAGTTTACACTTAACCACTCCCAGTAATATTCCTGCAAATATACATGGAGGAAGAGTCGCGGAAATAAATGGACAGGTAGGCAAATCCACGGCCACAGTGGGGTGTTTAACACTCCTCTTTTCTCAGTTGTTGATAGAAGTGGTTCAGGCAATTAGAGAGGATTTAGAAAGATAATTGCTGGACCTGACCCAAGGTATAAGTCCACTCCCAACCACAGGACTCACTTTCCTTACAAGCACAAGGGCATTTAGAAATCTCTCTGGATTCTGACCAGCCCTCACCATATGGCAGGTCCATGGACTTCTTGGAACACACCAAGCTCATTCTCACATTAGGGTCATCCCCAATGTCCTAAGTCCATGAAAGTTCCTTTCAACACACTCCCCAGGGCTCACTCCCTCTTGTCTCTAAGATCGGAGTTTAAATGTGATCTCTCTGATGAGGTCTCAGTGAGACGTTCCCTCCTGTACACTCCAAATGACAACGTTCCACGTTCATTCATTTCATTCTGTGCATGGCACTTTCACCAAGTGCTAAGGATTCACTCACTAATTCATACATTCATTCATTCATTCATTCACTCATTCCATCATTCACTCATTCATTCATTCTCTCATTCATTCATTCATGTTCTGCCTCTCTCTCCCACCCCACAGCAATGTGAGCATCATGAACCCAGGAGCTTGGCCGTGCTGTCTACTCCTGGCCATGAAACAGAGAGAACTGATGGTAGGTGTGAAATAAATATTAGATGAATGAGTTAGTGAAGGGGTCATTTACTGGGTGAGCTCAGTTCTCTCTACTCTAATGCCCTCCCTCGGCTGACTTCCCTGAGTTGCCCCCTCGGCTGAGTGAAGTCCCTTCACTGGCAAATGGAACCTCAACCAGTAGCACCTAGGTGGTCTCATACTTTGTTCTTTCCCTCTCCTCTTGCTCCCTAAGGATTATCAATCTCCATGACAGGGCTGGAGAGCAGACAAGCCACACATTCTTTCTGGGGAGAGAGTAACATGGAGTACAAGGCATTCCACATTTAGGAAGAGAACTCAGTTATGGAAGGTCAGAAATGAAAAGTTCCTACAGACCAACACCCAGGTTGGTGGCCACAGCCCTAAATGCTGATGGAGAATCACTGCAAGTCTGTAGGGAAGATGTCTGGCTTGAGGCCACTGAGCGAAGTGGCAGATCCTTCTCAGCCTTCAGTGCTGAGCCTCTGTCCCCTCAGGGATCCACTGACCAATGAGAAGAGCCTCTTCTCATCTCCTGGGATGGAGCTTGGGGCCCCTGGCGAAGGAATGGGCCTGTTTCCACCTGTCATGTTGTCATCTAGCTTGGAAATCCTGCGAGTCCCAGGGAGGCCCTCCCCGAGTCCCCAGAGAAGACTCCCCCACTGAGTCTCCAAGGTGTGGAGAGAGCAAAAAACATCTAGGGTGGAAAATGCCTCCCATCAAGAGACATTGGGGCTCCCCCAACGATGGTTGCATCTGTGCCCCCCATGTGGAAATCACTCTTTGGTGAGAGGTGGGGGCTTCTGGAAATGGGCAATGGCGGGCGGCCAATGCTACCTCTAGTCTTTCCAATCTGAGCCCGGCCTTTCATGCTCCTGAGTCAGCATTGATGCTGTTTACATGTGTCCCAGGTGGGCTTCTGTACAAAGACTGGGAAGTGGTTTATGTGGCCTGTGCTCTATCTGCAAGCTTCAGGTAGGGTTGCAGTTACCACCCCAAACCCTAATGTGATCTGTCTGCCTCGCTCTGTCTGTCTGTCTATGCCTCTTTCTGTATGTTTGCTTTGTGTCTCTTCTGTCCAGCATCTCTGGCTGACACCCCCATGGCCACCCCCTCCATCTGAGGCTCCCCTGAATGTGGCCATTGTAGTCCATCTGAGTCCCACTATTTGGGGAACAGACTGGTTTCCTCACCTGTGACAGAAACAAGCAGTGGGTCACTAAGGTCTGACCACTCGTAGGGAGAGTCACGGAAAGAGCCGAAGCATCTGTAGGTCCCTCCGTGGGTGGCAGGGCCCAGAGGAAAGTTGGCCTGGAAGGTTCCATTGACCTTGGGCACTGCAGGGAACCTAAGTTCATGAGCCTCCCCCTCCCTTGATAGATGGTAGATGTCATAGGAGCTCCGGGAGCTGCAGGACAAGGTCACGCTCTCTCCTGCCTTAACCATGGGGCGCGGCTGGGCTGAGAGAGAAGGTTTCCCACATAGACCTGGAAGGAGAAGAGGCAGTTTCCTCAGGGAGGTTCTTCCTTGTCACAACTCCCCTCCCACCTGAGCTGAGAACTCACTCCCCTGCTCTATGGCCTAATGCTCTCTCTCTCTGTCTCACCCTCCACACCATCTCTCTTTATGTCTATTTCCTCTTTCCACCTTCTCTGTCTCTCTAGGTCTCTGACCTCACTTTCTCACCTCTAGATATGTTTTCCCTTTTTGGATTGTTTTATTCTCTCTGACTCTCCTTGGACTAGTTGACTTGATGTTACTTTTTTTAAATTCTGAGTTTCTCACTTTGTGTCCTGTTCATAACTTTCTGCATATTTCTATCTATTATCTATTGATATATCTATTTATCTATTTGGTGCCTATCTACAAATTCTCTACCTGTCATCTATATCTATATATAATCTATTTATCTATCAATTGTCTATCCAAAAATCATCTATTATCTATATCTATGTATCGTCTCTCTCTCTCTATGATTTCTCTTTGTCTGCCTCTCTATCTCTATGTATTATCTATCTTCATCTTCATCATCTCTATGTATCATCGATTAATCAATGAATGAATCAATCATCATCTATGTATCTATAACCTATTATCTATCATCTACCTATTTATCATCTATCTATATCTATCCATCTATCATCTGTCTTGCTCTGCCTCTCGGTCTCTCTAGTTCTCTTTGGAATCTCTGCAATTCATCCCCACATCTCCATCTTTCTATGTCCTTGTGTCTCTCCCTCAGGACTCTAATTTTAGTGCTTTTCTCTGTTCCCTTCCATTGTTCTCTCCACTTCTCTGCCCTCTTTTCTCCCTCTTTATGTGTCTGTGAGTCTCTCAATCTCCTTCCTCTGGCTCATTCTCTGTGTGTTTATGTCTTTGCTTTTTGGTGTCCCTGATTTCTCTCTGTGTCTCTCAGTGATCCTCTCATATGTGGGGTTATTTGGAATGTGAGCCTCAGAATCCAGTCTGGGGACCGCAAGTTCACACAGTATACAGGGGTTGATGTTCTGGGGCCATGATATCCTGGGACGATTACTCTCCATTGCATGGAAGGCAGAGGTGTCAGAATAAACACGGCATCTGTAGGTGCCAGAAGGCCTGAGGCCACAGGGCCCAACTCAGGCCAGAAATATGGGTGTCCTTGGGTTCTTCTGGTAGAGAACACTTTGTGGAAGTAAAACAGAAATGAAACTTCTAACCTGTGCCAGGTCTCTGAGCAAAGTCAGCATGGAAGGACACCTCTCTCTGGCACATGTCTGTCTGTGTCTCCTTTAACTCTTTCTGTCTTTTCTAACTCCCTGTATGGCCCCTGTGTCTGTCCTCTGTTATGACACCTGGTCTGTACTTGTGTCTCCTGTTTCTCTGTCTCTGTTGGTACAGACCTCACCAAGTTAGTCTCTCTCCATAAGAATACCAAGCTCATCTTCCTTATAACCACCTGGGCCTCCAAGTCGTGGATCATTCACTCTGTGTCCCAGTGACAATGAGAATAATGTCCAGACACTCTCACCTGTAATCACGATGTCCAGAGGGTCACTGGGAGCTGACAACTGATAGGGGGAATGAGGAACAGAACCGTAGCATCTGTAGGTCCCTGCAAGGTCTTGCGTCATGCGACCGATGGAGAAGTTGGCCTTGGAGACCCCATCATGGAGCTCTCCAGTGAGGCGCAAAGTGTCATTAAACTTCCCCTCTCTGTGCAGAAGGAAGTGCTCAAACATGACATCTGACCAACATTGCAGGATGACTGTCTCTTCTGATTTCACCAGGGGACCTGGGTGGGCCAGGAGGGAAGGTTTTCTGTGGACTCCTAGGAAGAGAAGTTGTGACTTTAGAAGGCATCTCTCTTTATCATCCCATCCATGGCACCTAGAATGAGTGAGGCTTCCCCTCGCTGGTGTCTTATCTCTCTCCTTCCTCTCTGTGTCTTCATGTTCTTTTCTGTGCCCATAACTCCTGGTACAGGTCCTTCCATCTGTCTCCCTCCCTCTTCTCTGTCCCTCTGTCTCTAGTAGCTCCTGATTCCCTTGACGCTGGGCTCAGCCTCATCTCTTGGGCTGTTGTATCTATTTCGAACTAATGTCTTTCCTGCTTCTATGTGGGGGTGGAAGAGGAACCAGGATAGGCTGCACGTCCAGGCTCTTAGCAGACTGGTTCAATCTCTTTTGGACGAATTGGAATCCTTGGCAGAAGGTATGAACTGATCAGTAAGGCAGGCACCAGTGTCCACACACCCTGTTCCTGGTGGGGACTGGGAGCCACTCTTGCCATGCCTGTGCCTTCTCCATGGTGCCAGCTTCCATAGGCTGGCTTCTGGTGCTGGTTTGAGGAGTATCAACCCCTCCCTATGTGGATGGAGCCTGGTGGTGGCATCATCATCCCACCCTTGCTGATCTCGGTGTAGCCAACCTTCTCTTTGTTTGGTTTCTTTAATTAATTAATTAATTTTGGAGTCAGAGTCTCACTCCTTCACCCAGGCTGGAGTGAAGTGGTGTGGTCTAGGCTCACTGCAACCTCTGTCTCCTGGGTTCAAGTGATTCTCCTGCCCTCAACCTCCTGAGTTGCTAGGATTACATGCACCTGCCACCACGCCCGGCTATCCTTGTGTCCTTTCTTATCTTGTCCTTGACCTGGGTTCCAGTGTTGGTTTCCTGTTGGTGCTGTAGAAAATTATCAGAAGCATGGCAGCAGGAGAGAGCACACTGACCCCTTCCGTTTCTGGAGACAGAAATCGGACCCTGTTTTTTGAGGGCTAAAATCAAGGCATCTGCAGGGCTGCGTTCCCTCTGGAGACCCAGGAGAATCAGTTCCTTGACTTTTCCAGCCTCTATAGGCCACCTGCATTCATGGCTCATGGCCTTCCTCCACCTTCAAAGCTGATGGAGACTTCCATTGCACTGCTCTAATCGCCACTCCCCTCTTCCTTCTCCTCTCATGTGCACCCTTGTGATTACACTGAGCCCAGCAGGACAGTCCAGGCTGTCTCCCCATCTCAAGGTCAACTCAACAACCTGAGCTCCATCTTCCCCTTCAGTGCCTTCCCCTATAACATAAATAGTCACAGACTGCAGGGATTAGAATGCAGTCATCATTGGGGACAATTATTCTTTCCACCACAGCACCCATTTCCCTGTATTCAATCCCCTTTTATCCCAAATACAGTTAGGGTCTGGATGATGGGACGCTGGTGGACACTCCCACCAGAAGCTCTGGGACTCAGGAGGTGGGACAAGGAGAATCCCAGACAGGAGCCCTCTGACCTGTGACCATGATCACCAGGGGGTTGCTGGGTGCTGACCACCCAGTGAGGAAGTGTGGGTGTGAACCCCGACATCTGTAGGTCCCTGCATGTGCTGGGGTCACAGGGCCTATGAAAACGGTGTTTCGGAATACTCTGTTGTAGAGCTCAGGGACAGGCATCCCGTCTTCTTTGGACAGACTGAATTCGTTAAACCCAAGACGAGAGCGACACTGAAGAGCCACATGTTCTCCTTCAGACACCACGGGGCTGGGCCAGGCAGAGAGGAAGGGCTTGTCCTGACCACCTGGGGGAGAAGGAGGCGCCACCTTAGAGAGGAGGATGTGGCACTCCCTCCCTCTATTCCTTTCCAGGACTCACCAACACACGCCATGCTGACGACCATGAGCGACATGGTGCTGCCGGTGCAGACAGGCGGCCGCGCCCCAGCTCAGCTCAGCAGCGCACAGGATGTTATTTGGCGCCCTGCCCATGCAGCTTACATGTTGACTACATCATGGGAGGGTGACGTACGCAGGCTCTTTCTACCTTGCATGAGGCCCAGTGGATGCTTGCTCAAGAGCGGAACACGGCTTCCTGGAAATTGTTCTCACTAGAATTGGCACCTCACGTCCTTCACTATGACCAACTCACAACACGTCTCAGATCCAACCTCCCGAACACAAGATGCCTAAAATCTGTGCTAACGTGAAAGACTTTTCATGTATTTTTATCCGAACACGAGATGCCTAAAATCTGTGCTAACATGAAAGACTTTTCATGTATTTTTTTTGTTTTTATCTGAGATTCAAACTCTTCTTCCTGTGTAATATGCAAAGTATCTAATAGGTATTATTAATGTTTTCGGAGTCATTGTGACTAATAAACCATTAGAATTTTTCATGCTTGTATTTCTAGTATTACAGCAGAACCAGCTAAAATGATTTAAATTCCCAGGGAAGGATTATGCAATTATTTACAATCTTCGAATTGTACTTTATCAGCAAAAACCACACCTGTAAATTCTGGAGTTTTGTAGTTTAATCTAAAATTTGTCTCATGACCCAAGATTCCAGAGTCCCAACTCTGGAGTTTGCTCTCTGTCTGTCTCTCTCCCTCCCTCGTTTTAAATTTTACAGAAATATCCAGTAACATAATGCTATAGAAAATCAAGTTTTCCCCAGCACGTTGGGAAGCCGAGGTGGGCAGATCAACTGAGATAAGGAGTTTGAGAGCAGCCTGGCCAATATAGTGAAACCGTGTCTCTGTTAAAAATCCAAAAATTAGCCGTGCCTGGTGGCAGGCACCTGTAACGCCAGCTACTCAAGAGGCTGAGGCACGAGAATCGCTTGAACCTGGGAGGCGGAGGTTGCAGTGAGCTGAGATTGTGTCACTGCAGTCCAGCCTGGGCGACAGAGCAAGACTCCGCCTCAAGAAAAAAAAAGCAAACAGCCTATAATAACAAATTAGAGGGCTCTGGCTACTAAATTTAAAGGGTTCTATAAGGCTACATAAAGTGCAGCATCATCAAGAGTGTGGACACAGAGAGCCCCTTAGCAGAAACAGTGTCTAAAATACATCCATGTACACACAGTCCCTTTAGAGTTGACAAAGGCTGCCGTGTGGTTTAAGGTGGCATAGAATGTCTTCTCAATAAATAATATTAAACCAATTGGTTACACCTAGGAAAAAATAAATCTAACTCACACTATAAAAACACTTCTTAGTTTTTATCTAGTTGTACATTTTTTATGATTTATATTTAAATTTGAGAAATAAAAGTCATATACGGTCATCCTTCACTATTCGTGGGTGATTGGTTTTGAGATCTCCACTCAGATACCAAAATCTGTAGATGCTCAAGCCTCTTATATGAAATGGCACAGCGTTTGCAAATAACCTATGCACATCCTCCTGTATACATGAAATCATCTCTAGATTACTTATAATTCCTGATACAGCCTACACACAGCTTCATTTGTGTCCATTCAACATAGTTATGCTTTTTGAAACTCTGTGGATACTTTCTCTCAATATTTTTGATTTATACTTGGTTCAATAAACACCTGTAAACCCCGCAGATATGGAGGAGTGACCGTATATTTATATTATGAAAGATGATGTGTTGATATGTGTCCCCATGGAGATGAGACTAACAAGGCCTATGATTCTACAAATGTTTCATTGTGGAATGACTCTGCCAGCTTTCCAGGTCTGCAGAGAGTAAGAGTATCACTTGTTCATATGATTCGTGATCCTTGGAACCTCCTATGTGCTACATCTTTGGATGGAAATTGGAGTCCCAGAGACAAATGAGGCTCCACCCTGCTTCCAGAAACTCAGAGTCCGGGGATGAGAACTCAGTGGGGAACAGATGGGATTATATGGACATGGTACTGATAACACCGGAAGCCTTAGGCAAGAAAAGAGTCCCATTACCGAAACCATGGGGGCAGACATGTTTATTTGAAGGATGGAAAACTACATTGAAGTTATTTTAAAAAATATATAAGTTTTACTGCTGACAGAAGACTGAAAGCTAGTCTGAGGGGAGGTGGAACAGCATGAGGGAAGGTGGAACAACACGTGTCTAAGTGCTGCGTTAAGAGGGAGCCTCTTGTATGTTTGGAATTGTGAGTTCCTCAGTGTGATTGCAGCCTCAAGTAGACTAGGAAGTAAGCCAGTTAGGTTGGAGAGGTGGGCAGGGGTCAAGTGAAATGGAGAACTGTGGGCTAAGCAAAGGAGTGTGTTTTTTCTCCAGCAGGCAGTGGGGACCTTAGACATTTGTAAGCAAGTGAGAGGCACATTCAGATTTGTGGTGTGAGGAAGAGCGATGCCCTAAGATGCAGACTCATGCCTTCAGATTCCAGCTGCTGGTACATGGGAGCTGGCAACCCGGTTTTGAGACAGGGCTGTTGTCTCCCTAGAAGACGCCCTCAAGGCCTGACTGTGGTGCTCATGGGCAGGAGACAACTTTGGATCTGGACTCAGCATTTGGAAGTTCCGTGTACACGATGATATCTGTTGGGGGTGTCTTGGGCCTCTGAGAAGGGCGAGTGATTTTTCTCTGTGTGAAAACGCAGTGATTCAACTGTGTGTATGTCACCTCCTGAGGGTCTTGTTCATCAGAGTCCTGGAGAGAGGGAAATGCTGAGTGAGGGAGGGTGCTCACATTTTCCAGGACTCTTTGGGAATAACAGTAGCCACGAGCCCGGGCCGAGGAGTACCTACCTCGCTATTCGCTGTTCTGTTTCCTGCAGACTCTTGGTCCATTACCGCAGCATCTGTAGAAGACGGAAGTCAACAAAACAGCTCGGAGGGCACTTCTGGGTCCTCATTTCATAAGCAGATACCAACATACAGGGGGAGACCATAGGTGGCTGAGGTCCCTCAGTTGCCAACAGCAGACTCAGACATTCTATCTCTCTGAGCTCAAGGACCCATCCCATGAATAGCTCTGAGTTCCCATCCCATTGATTCTGTCTCCCACTTTCTGCCTGTCATGGAACCTTCTCCTGGATGTGAGTGGCTGCAGTGGACATGAGGATACAGTTCAGAATCAGGCAACGGTCTGTGAGTTGAAGGCAGGGACAGGGAGTCTGGTGCCCTCTCTAGAAAGTCCTGCCTCTGTGGCTGCTGCCTTGGGCCAGGGACCATCCTGTTTGTGAGGAACACACACCTGAGTGCTCCCATCCTGCTTCCCCACATGGCCCTGAGCTCTCTGGCCTCTGCTTCGTGAGACTTACTTTTTTTGTTGGAGCACCAGCAATGAAGGAGAAAGAAGAGGAGGATGAAGAGGATGATGACCACTGAGGTCCCAATCAGAATGTGCAGGTGTCGGGGGTTACCTGGAAGAAGATGAGACACCAATAAGAAGCTAATCTTAGCAGTTCCTCTTTATGAATTGTCTCGCATTTCTTGATTGACAGGTAACCACATAAAACACCTCTTTAGGACAAGCACCCAGATAGCAGGAGACCCAGCTTTCTCCTGCTTTTTCAGTTATAGCTCTCATAGTAACCATAGAACGTGCTGAGGATACGACTACTTTAGTTGAGATGTTTGACCCCTTCAAACCTCACATTGAAATTTCACCCCCACTGTGGGAGGTTGGGCCTCTTGAGAGGTGTTTGGGTCATGGAGGTGGATCCATCATGAACACATCAATGCTGTCCCAAGGAGACGGGGTTAGCAAGTTCCCCCTCTATTAGTTCCCGGAGAGCTGGTTGTTAAAAAGAGCTTGGAAGCTCCATCACTCCCCCTCCCCCTTGCTCCCTCTCTTGCCGTGTGATCTCTGTGGTCTCTGCACAGACAGACCCTCCTTCCCTTCTGCCAGAGTGGGAGCAGCCTGAGGCCGTCACGAGAAATAGATGCTGGTGCCATGCTTCCAGTACAGCCTGCAGAACGGTGAGACAAACCAATCTCTTTTCTTTAGAAGTTACCGAGGCTCAAGTGTTCCTTTAGAGCAACAAAAATGGCCTAAGACAGCAACTTCCTGAGATCAGGAGGAACGTCTCAGAACAGCCTGGGCTGTCTTCCTGTTCTTCCTGGAGGAGGACGTCATGCAGTGCTTTAGCTGAGTGCTTCCTGTGGCTCCAGGGTACAAAACCCAGGCTGGGCTGCTTTCTGGCTTCCCGCAGCTACACTGCAAATGGGGTGACTCCATATGTCCCGAGGAGCTTTTCTGAGCCTTGAGGGACTGGGTCACATTGAAATATAGGTTTCTGTTGTCACTCGCTGCTTATCTGTTAGTAATGAACCTGCCTATGTAACGTATTCTCTGTGTGTTCTGTCTCCCTGGAGTGACGGTGAGTGATAGGAATTGGCATAGGCCCAGGTGCAGTCCAGGAGGTGTTTAGAGTCTTCTCTGGGAAGACTGGACTGGGATTGATTCACAGCGAATGTGCTTTAGGGTTTCTACATCCACAGCATTCTTGAATCAAACAACTTGCATTCTCCAAGGAAAGAAAACAAAAGTGAAATCAAGATAAAAAAAGCGAAATAGAATTCTCTTATGTCAAACGGCCAGGAAATAGTGTTGAAGCCCGTGTGAAACCTGCTGCTCTTTGTGATCTCGGGAGACACATATTAGGCTGCTGTTCTACCCGAGAGGCTGGGGGAAGGACCACCCCCTCGGCCATCTATTGCTTCAAAACCACCTGTCCTCCTGTGAATTAGTAGGAAAGGGGAGCAGGAGCTAGTGCTGTCGCTGATCTCTGATTCCAAGATCTGGACTCACTCCAAGGAGTGTTAATGTTTACCTCCCCATGGTCTATCTGAATCTCCACAGGTGATTGGAAGTAGGGGTGAGGTGGGGGATTTGGGTGAGTGGGCAAGTTTTTTTTGTGATGACCAGAGCACTTTCTCTATTCCAGGATCTGTGCTGGAGGATTCAGCGGGCTTTCACATTTTCTATGTGATCTCATGCTCACAGAAAGCCAAATAGGGAAGAGGTTTTAGGCTCATTGCCTAATGGATAAGATAAAGGATCAAAGAAGTAATTATAGAGAAATAGAAAAATCATGATTGGAATTCAGGTCCCTTTGTCATTTGCGTGTGTTATATTATATTTATATTTATGCATTTCTTATTTTTATTTTTTGAGACGGAGTCTCCTTGTGCCACCCAGGCTGGAGTGCAGTGATGCAACCTCCACTCACTGCAACCTCCACCTCCTGGGTTGAAGTCATTCTCCTGCTTCATCCTCCAGAGTAGGAGCTGGGATTACAGGGATGCACCACCATGCTCGGCTAATTTTTGTGTTTTTCCTAGAGACAGGGTTTCACCATGTTGGCCAGGCTGGTCTCGAACTGCTGACTTCATGTGATCCACCCGCCTTGGCCTCCTGCAGTGCTGGGTTACAGGCGTGAGCCACCGTTCACAGACTTGTATATTATGCTATAATAGGTCCCTTCATTTCCACCACCCCTCATATATCTGTCACTCCTTTGCCAGGTATTGATTTATGTGTAGGATGAATAAATCTCAGAAAGAAATTAATTAAGCGAGGATTAAACAAGTAGGAAAATCAAACCCAGTAAGCGTTTCCAGTCAATGATTCTACCTCACAAACATATCTTATATCCATCTACTTCATTCATTTAGTGTCTAAATCAGCACCACATTTCACCAGTGGGGCGGCAATTGCCTTTTCCACGGTCTCCTAGATTCCAGTTATGCAACTGAGCCTCCCTTATTTTCATGTCAGTCATATTAATCATGTAGGGATTCCTAGTTACCCCGAGGTGAATTCAATGGCTGTGAGTGTCAAACACACACTCCTTGTTGCTCCTTAGTTTCCTGTGTACCCAGTGTGCTCTCCGTCTCTCTACAGTCATCTTGTCATTCTCCCCACATCATTCCCAGCATTTGAGGCAGAGCCTCTTCCTTCCATATCAGATTGTTTTCACCTTTGTGCCTTCACGGCTGACAGCTGTGTGTGCAAAATCCTTCCGCCAATCTTTCAGGGGTTCAATCCGTGTTTTTCATTAATGTCACAAATATCTGAATAGTGAGACCTTCTTTGTCACCTGAAATCATACACTCAGCATTATCTATTATTGATTTTGAATTCTGGCTGGGCACAGTGGCTCACGCCTGTAGTCCCATTACTTTGGCATGCTGAGACGGTCGGATCACTTGAGGTTGGGAGTTTCAGACAAGCTTGGCCAACGTGGTGAAACATCCTCTCTACAAAAAATATACAAAAAGAATTAGCCGGGCACGGTGGCAGTTGCCTGTAATCCCAGCTACTCGAGAGGCGGAGGCAGGAGAATCACTTGAATCCAGGAGACGCAGGTTGCAGTGAGCCAAGATCGTGACACTGCACTGTAGCCTGGAAGACAGAGGGCGACTCTGTCTCAATAAACAAAAGAACAAACAAAAAATAGATTTCACGCACAGATGCTTCCCAATGGATCATTCATTTATAGATCCACTTGTGCATTCATTTTCTGCCCTCCCATTTAACCATCTGCAATATCAGTGTCCCAAGGGCAGAGGCCAAATGCATCTTGTTCACTGTTTGTGGAAGGCAGGAGAATGCTGTCCCACCCCAAAATGTCCCTGTCCTAGCCTCCATAGCTTGTGAATATGTTATTTTACATGGAAAGGAGGAATGAAGATTGCAGATGGAATTATGGTTACTAATCAGCTGAACTTAAAACAAGGGTATCCTGGATGATTTCCAGGAGATTATGAGGGATTTTCATCTTGGTGAACCCAATAGAATCCCCAAGTTTTCAAAAGATGAGGAAGAAGGGAGAGCAGCATTCAGAGAAAGAAGTGTGGTAAGGAAGAAGGCACTGAGTGATGCCATGTGAGATGTGACCAGTCTTTGTGGGCTTTGAGGAAGGAGGAAGGGGACCAGGAGCCAAGGAACTGGGAGCCTTTAGAAGCTGGGACAAGTGAGAAGCAGATTCGTGCCTGGAATCCTCAGAGGGAAGGCAGCCTTGCTGTCACCTTGATTTTAGCCCAGTAAGATGCACTTCCTACTTTGAGCTACAGCACTGTAAGATAATTAAAAAACCGTTTTGTTTTCACCCACGAATCTTGTGGAAATTTGTTATGGCAACAATAGGAAAAGGTTCCGCACTGCACAGCCTGAGCATGGGGCCGTGGCTGAATGAGTCAGTGAGTCGAAGTGTGCGTGCATGAGCTCTGTTCTCTGTTACGGCAAGGCTCTTGCTCTGCTGAGTCAGCCAGGGTTGCTTCATGACCTACAGGAGCTCATTCCTTGGCAAGTGGAACTTCTCTAAAACACCTCGCCCTCATCAGATGTTCCCTTCCCTTCCCTCTCTCAAGTCTCCAGGAATTTATCCTCCAGTTAGGAATGCAGGCAGAACAAACATTGCATTTTTCCTGAGAAGGATGTCAGATTGGCAATCATTCTTCTAGCTTGTAGGAGGTCTCAGCTCCATAAAATGAGAGATGAAGAGATTTCACTGAGCCCTGTGTTGGGCCCAGATCCCTTTCGCTGTAGGAGTATCTGGAGTTCGGAGATGGTGGAAGACAGGTGTACAATGTCAGAGCTGTGAGATGCTGAGTCAACGCCTGAATCCAAGGTTTCCACCTCCCCAGGTTTCCAAAAGCGGATATAAGAGGGTTCTGTACTCACCGGTTTCGGAGCTTGGTTCAGTGGGTGAAGGCCAACTATTTGAAGGGTTTCCTAGAACATGAGACAGGAGAGAGGTGAGGAAATGAGGGTTTCTGTCCTCCACTCAGTGGAAATCTTTGAGGATGGTTCATGGCCAACACTCTGTTATCTAATATTGGGCCCTGGGAGTCCTGGGATCCTTTTTTCCATAATTTTTTTATGTGACACCCACTGTCTTGAGACTTCAAGGTATAAAGAGAAAACAGGAGCATCACACTACCTGATCTCAAAATATGTTACAGAGCTGTAGTAAGCAAAATAGCATGACATTGGCATAAAGAAAGGCACATAGAACAACGGAGCAGAATGAATAACACAGATATATTCCATGCATTTACATCCAATGGTTTTTTATTTTTTCTTTTGAGATGGAGTCTTGCTCTGTCACTCAGGCTGGAGTGCAAAGGTGCAATCTCGGTTCACTGCAACCTCAGCCTCCTGGGTTCAATCATTCTCTTGCCTCAAACTCCTGAGTAGTGGTATTACAGGTGCTGACCACCATGCTCAGCTAATTTTTATATTTTTAGTGGAGATGATGTTTCATCACGTCGGCCAGACTAATCTTGAACTCCTGGCCTCAGGTGATCCACCCACCTTGGGCTCCCAAAGTGCTGAAATTGCAGGTGTTAGCCACCAAGCCCAGCCCATCCAATGGACTTTGACAAAGATGCCAAGAACTCACAATCAGGAAAGGACAGTCTTTTCAATAAACAGTGCAGGGAAACCTGGACATCTACATGCAGAGGAATGAAACTGCACCTCTACCTGTCACCATACACAAAAATCAAATGAAAATGGATTAAAGATGTGAGTCTAAGGCCTGAACCTATGAAACACGTAGAACAAAATATTGGGGAAATGCTCCAGGACACTTGTCTGAAGAAAGACATTTTGTTTTAAACCTTGAAAACACAAGTAATCGAAGCAAAAATAGACCATTGGGATTACCTCATACTAAGCAACTTCTGCACCGCTAAAAATAAACCAACAAAGTGAAGAGACAACCCACAGATTGGGAGCAAATATGTGCAAACTATGCATCTGAGATGGGATTAATAACTAGAAATATAAGAAGCTCAAACAACTCAATAAAACAAATGATTTAATTGAAAAAGGAGCAAAAGACATGAAATTTCCCCACATACGAAAAACTGCTCAGTATCACTCATCATCAGAGAAACGCAAATTAAATTCAAAGTGAGTTTTCATCTCACCCCATTAAAATGGCTTTTAGGCCGGGTGAGGTGGCTCACGTTTGTCATCCTAGAACTTTGAGAGCCTGAGGTGGGTGAATCTCATAAGGTCGGGAGTTTGAGACCAGTATGACCCACATAGAGAAACGCTGTCTCTACTAAAAATACAAAAATTAGTCGGGCGTGGTGGCGTGTGCCTGTAATTCCAGCTACTCGGGAGGCTGAGGCAGGAGAATCGCTTGAACCTGGGAGGTGGAGGTTGTGGTGAGCCGAGATCGCGCCACTGCACTCCAGCCTGGGTGAGAAGAGCAAAACTCCATCTCAAAATAAAATGAAATAAAATAAAATGGCTTTTAGCTGCAAGACAGGCAAAAGAAATGCTGGCAAGGTGGTAGAGAAAGGAGAACCCTGGTACCCTGTTGGGAGGAGTGTAAATTAGTACAGCCATTACGGAGAAAAGTATGGAAGTCCTTTAAAGAACTAAAAAGAGGTTGGGTGCGGTGGATCATGCCTGTAATCCCGGCACTTTGGGAGACTGAGGCGGGCACCTCAGTTGAGGTCATGAGTTTGAGAGCAGCCCAGCCAACATGGGGAAACCCCATCTATACTAAAAAAACCAAAAAGTAGCCAGGGATGGTGGTGTGCACCTGTAATCCCAGCTACTAGGGAGGCTGAGGCAGGAAAATCATTTGAACCCAGGAGGCGTAGGTTGCAATGAGCCAAGGTCGCACCACTTTGACTCCAGCTTGGGCTAAGGAGGGAAACTCTTTCTCAAAAAAGAAAAAAAGAAAAAAAGAGAACTTTCATAGTATCCAGCAATTTCACTACTGGGTTTATATCCAAAGGAAAGTAAATCAATATATCGAAGTGATATCTGCACTCGTATGATTGGTGCAGCACTGTTCACAGTAGCCAAGATGAGGAGTCAACCTACCTGCCCATCAGTGGGTAAATGGATAGAGAGAATGTAGTACATACGCATAGTGGAGACTACTCATCCATAGAAAGAATAACATCCTGTCATTTGCAGCCACATGGATGGAACTGGAGGTCATTACAAAGATTCCCATTTCTCACCCATATACAGGAGCTAAAAGGTGGATCTCATGAAGGTAGAGAGTAGAATGGTGGCTACTGGAGGACAGGAAGAAAAGGGTGGAGGGTAAAAAAAATGTATATATATATATGTATATAAATGTATTTATGACCACTAGACTTTACACTTAAAAATGGTAAATGTGGCTGGGCGCGGTGGCCCATGCCTGTAATCCCAGCACTTTGGGAGGCAGATGCGGGTGGATCACTTGGTCAGGAGTTCGAGACCAGCTCGACCAACATGGTGAAACCACCTCCCTACTAAAAATACAAAAAGTAGCCTGGCGTGGTGGTGCGTGCCTGTAGCACCAGCTACTCAGGTGGCTGAGGCAGGAGAATCGCTTGAACCCAGGAGGTGGAGGTTGCAGTGAGCTGAGATTGTGCCACTGCACTCCAGCATAGGGGACACAGCTAGACTCCACCTCAAAAAAAAATGTTAAAAGTGGTAAGCTATATAGGTATATTTATCCTCAATAAATATTTCTTCAAAGAAAAGTAAAGGGTGTAGGGGTTGCTGGTGATGACATCTCTGTGTGGGTGAGAGGCCAGGATGGGCTTCTGGGAAATGGGTAAGGTTGAGGGGCTGAGGGAACCTCTGATCTCCCCAAACTGAGCCCAGTCTCCCTCCTCTGGGTCTCTCCTGACCGCTTTCTCCATCTGCCTGGGTGCCTGGAGCCCTGGCCGTGGGCCTCCATGCAGGCCATGTAGGAGGGTTTGGAGGTGCCCTGTCGGCCATCCTGTGCCCTGATCCCTCCCTCACACCGAGGCTGCGTCTTCTCTCTGCATCTGTCCATGCTTCTCTCCATCATCAGCAGGAAGCTCCTCAGCTAAGGCTCTAGGATCATAGGACATGGGACAGCCATGGGCTTTCCTCACCTGTGACAGAAACAAGCAGTGGGTCACTTGACTTTGACCACTCGTATGGAGAGTCACGGAAAGAGCCGAAGCATCTGTAGGTCCCTCCATGGGTGGCAGGGCCCAGAGGAAAGTTGGCCTGGAATGTTCCGTTGACCTTGGTCCCTGCAGGGAGCCTACGTTCATGGGCCTCCCCTTCCCTGGATAGATGGTACATGTCATAGGAGCTCCGGGAGCTGCAGGACAAGGTCACATTCTCTCCTGCCAGAACCGTGGGGCCCGGCTGGGCTGAGAGAGAAGGTTTCTCATATAGACCTGGAAGGAGAAGAGGCAGTTTCCTCAGGGAGGATCTTCCTTGTCACAGCTCCCTTCACCTGAGCTGAGAACTCACTCCCCTGTTCTATGACCTAATGCTCTCTCTCTCTCTCTCTCACCCTCTACCCCATCGCTCTTCATGTCTATTTCCTCCTTCCACCTTCTCTGTCTCTCTAGGTCTCTGACCTCACTTCCCCACCTCTAGATATGTTTTCTCTTTTTGGATTGTTTTATTCTCTCTGACTCTCCTTGGATTGGTTGACTTGATGTTACTTTTTTTAATTCTGAGTTTCTCACTTTGTGTCCTGTTCATAACTTTCTGCATATTTCTATCTATTATCTATCGATCTATCTATTTATCTATTCGGTGCCTATCTACAAATTCTCTACCTGTCATCTATATCTATATATCATCTATTTATCCATCAATTGTCTATCTATCCATCAATCATCTATTATCTATATCTATGTATCATCTCTCTCTCTCTATGATTTCTCTATGTCTGCCTCTGTATCTCTATGTATTATCTATCTATGTGTCTTCATCATCATCATCTCTATGTCTCATCTATTAATGAATCAATCAATCATCATCTATGTATCTATAACCTATTATCTATCATCTACCTATTTATCATCTATCTATATCTATCCATCTATCATCTGTCTTGCTCTGCCTCTCGGTCTCTCTAGTTCTCTTTGGAATCTCTGCAATTCATCCCCACATCTCCATCTTTCAATGTCCTTGTGCCTCTCCCTCAGGAGTCTAACTTTAGTGATTTTCTCTGCTCCCTTCCATCATTCTCACTTCTCTGCCCTCTTTTCTCTCTCTTTATGTGTCTGTGAGTCGCTCAATCTCCTTCCTCTGGCTCATTCTCTGTGTGTTTATGTCTTTGCTTTTTGGTGTCCCTGATTTCTCTCTGTGCCTCTCACTGATCCTCTCATAAGTGGGCTTATTTGGAATATGAGCCTCAGAATCCAGTCTGGAGACTACAAGTTCACACAGCATACAGGGGTTGGTGTTGTGGGGCCATGATATCCTGGGACGATTACTCTCCATTACATGGAAGGCAGAGGTGTCAGAATAAACATGGCATCTGTAGGTGCCACAAGGCCTGAGGCCACAGGGCCCAACTCAGGTCAGAAATATGGGTGTCCTTGGGTTCTCCTGGTAGAGAACACTTTGTGGAGGTAAAACAGAAATGAAACTTCTAACCTGTGCCAGGTCTCTGAGCAAAGTCAGCATGGAGGGACACCTCTCTCTGGGACATGTCTGTCTGTGTGTCTCCTTTAACTCTTTCTGTCTTTTCAAACTCCCGGTATGGCCCCTGTGTCTGTTCTCTGTTATGACACCTGGTCTCTACTTGTGTCTCCTGTTTCTCTGTCTCTGTTGGCACAGACCTCACCAAGTCAGTCTCTCTCCATAAGAATACCAAGCTCATCTTCCTTACAGCCACCTGGGCCTCCAAGTCCTGGATCATTCACTCTGCATCCCAATGACAATGAGAAGAAAGTCTGGACACTCTCACCTATGATCACGATGTCCAGAGGGTCACTGGGAGCTGACACCTGATAGGGGGAGTGAGTAACAGAACCGTAGCATCTGTAGGTCCCTGCCAGGTCTTGCGTCATGCGACTGATGGAGAAGTTGGCCTTGGAGACCCCATCATGGTGTTCTCCAATGAGGCGCAAAGTGTCGTTAAACATCCCCTCTCTGTGCAGAAGGAAGTGTTCAAACATGACATCTGACCAACATTGCAGGATGACTGTCTCTTCTGATTTCACCAGGCGACCTGGGTGGGCCAGGAGGGAAGGTTTTCTGTGGACTCCTAGGAAGAGAGGTTGTGAGTTTAGAAGGTGTCTCTCTTTATCATCCCATCCATGGCACCTGGATTGAGTGAGGCTTCCCCTTCCTGGTGTCTTATCTCTCTCCTTCCTCTCTGTGTCTTCATGTTCTTTTCTGTGCCCATAACTCCTGGTGCAGGTCCTTCCATCTGTCTCCCTCACTCTTCTCTGTCCCTCTGTCTCTAGTAGCCTCTGATTCCCTTGCCGCTGGGCTCAGCCTCATCTCTTGGGCTGTTGTATCTATTTCGAACTAATGTCTTTCCTGCTGTCTGTGTGGGGGTGGAAGAGGAACCAGGATAGGCTGCACATCCAGGCTCTTAGCAGCCTGGTTCAATCTCTTTTGGACGAATTGGAATCCTTGGCAGGAGGTATGAACTGATCAGTAAGGCAGGCACCAGTGGCCACACACCCTGTTCCTGGTAGGGACTGGGAGACACTCTTGCCATGCCAGTGCCAGCTTCCATAGCCTGGCTCCTGGTGCTGGTTGGAGGAGTATCAACCGCTCCCTATGTGGATGGAGCCTGGTGGTGGCATCATCATCCGAGCCTTGCTGATCTCAGTGTAGCCAACCTTCTCCTTGTTTGGTTTCTTTAATTAATTAATTAATTTTGGCGACAGAGTCTCACTCCTTTGCCCAGGCTGGAGTGAAGTGGTGTGGTCTAGGCTTACTGCAACCTCTGTCTCCTGGGTTCAAGTGATTCTCCTGCCCTCAGCCTCCCAAGTCGCTAGGATTACATGCACCTGCCACCATGCCTGGCTATCCTTGTGTTGTTTCTTAACCTGTCCTTGACCTGGGTTCCAGTGTTGGTTTCCTGTTGCTGCTGTAGAAAATTATCAGAAGCATGGCAGCAGGAGAGAGCACACTAACCCCTTCCAATTCTGGAGACAGAAATCGGACCCTGTTTGTCGTGGGTAAAATCAAGGTACCTGCAGGGCTTCGTTCCCTCTGGAGACTCAGGAGAATCAGTTCCTTGACTTTTCCAGCCTCTATAGGCCACCTGCATTCATGGCTCCTGGACTTCCTCCACCTTCAAAGCTGATGGAGACTCCCATTATGCTGCTGTAATCCCCACTCCCCTCTTCCTCCTCCTTTCATGTGGACCCCTGTGACTACACTGAGCCCATCAGGACAGTCCAGGCCTTCTCCCCATCTCAAGGTCAACTCATCAACAACCTGAGCTCCATCTTCTCCTTCAGTCCCTTCCCCTATATCATAAATAGTCACAGACTCCAGGGATTAGAATGTAGTCATCACTGGGGACAACACAGTGCTTCCCACCACAGCACCCATTTCCCTGTATTCAATCCCCCTTTACCCCAAATACAGTCAGGACTTGCATGATGGGACCCGCAAGGACACGCCCACCAGGAGCTCTGGGATTCAGGAGGTGGGACAAGGAGAATCCCAGACAGGAGCCCTCTGACCTGTGACCGTGATCTCCAGGGGGTTGCTGGGTGCCGACCACCCACTGGGGTAGTGTGGTTGTGAACCCCGACATGTATAGGTCCCTGCGTGTGCTGGGGTCACAGGGCCCATGAAAAGGCTGTTCCAGAATATTATGTTGTAGAGCTCAGGGACAGGCACCCCATCTTCCTTTTACAGACTGAAGTTGTTAAACCCAAGATAAGAATGACACTGAAGAATCACATGTCCTGGAGGCACCACAGGGCTTGGCCAGGCAGACAGCAAGGGCTTGTCCTGACCACCTTGGGGAGAAGGAGGCACCGCCTTAGAGAGGAGGATGTGGAGCCACCCCTCCCTCCCTGTGCTCTGAAGATTCTCCTCGCTTTCCAAGTTTCTATGGCTGCTATCACACCTTGGTGCCCAGGGCTAAAGGAAGGACCCATCCCGCAAACACAAGGTGTCTCCCTACAACAAAAGTGTCAGCTGAGAACTTTGAGCAAGTGCTGAGTAAGAGACTCCTACTAGATTTTAATACTGTAAGATTACTCACATAAAACAACACAGGGTAGACATGGGGTGGAGGGCATGTCCTTTGAGAATGGAATATCAGCTGATGCCTGAACGAAAATAAACAACTGAGTCCCCATCAGAGGATTGGAATGTCAGGGCCATGGCTGTGGTTTTCCCACCTCTTCTGGTAGAATGACAGCAGCCACACTGCAGCCCCTACCGTCATGGAAACGCTGAAGTGTGTGAGTAACACCTTTGTCCTCAGAGGATCTGCTGTTCCTACCACTTCCCCACCACACACCCCAGCTTTGAGCACCGTAGTCTAACCCTGGTCCCCACAGAACTTGACTCTGCCAAGGGAATGAAAGGCCAGGGAGGCAAGGTCAGAAATGTGGGCCCAGCACCCCAGGGTCCCTTCTTCCTAGTTTATGAGAGACTCCCTGACAGGACTTCCCTCCCATTTCAGGAAAATCCTCTTATGTGGGGAGATGACACCCGAAGGTTTGGAGAAGGACTCACCCTCATGTGGCCAGGCCCCCTGCAGCAAGAAGAACCCTGGAAAGAAAGATCATGATGGATGACCCATCTGCAGGCAAACCAGGGCACCCTTGCTGCCCCCACTGGGCTGTGAGTCTTGGTAGCCAGGCCCTTCCTGGGCTGAAGGTAAACTCACCCTCAGTGCCTACCTGCACCCAAGAACAGGGCTGTCGGCTGTGCAGAGACCCAGCCTCCAGGTCCATATCCCCACCTCAAGCCCATATCTCCACTCCAGGCCCATATCTCCACTCCAGGCCGATATTTCCACCCTAAGCCCATATCGCCAATCCAGGCCCATATCTCCAATCCAGGCTCAGATCTCCACCCTGGGCCCATATCTCCAATCCAGGCCCTTATCTCCACTCCAGGTCCATATCTCCTCTCCAGTCCCATATCTCCACTCCAGGCCCATATATCCTCTCCAGTCCCATATCTCCACACCCAGGCCCGTATCTCCATCCTAGGCACATATCTCCTCTCCAGGCCCAGATATCGACCTCTAGGCCCATATCTCCACTCCTGGCCCATATCTCCACTCCAGGCCCAGATATCGACCTCTAGGCCCATATCTCCACTCCTGGCCCATATCTCCACTCCAGGCCCATGTCTCCACTTCAGGCCCATATCTCTACTGCAGGCCCGTAACTCCACCTCCAGGCCCATGACTCCACTCCAGGCCCATATCTCCACCTCCAGGCCCATATCTCCCCTCCAGGTTCCTATCTCCCCTCCAGGTTCCTATCTCCACTCCAGGCCCAGATCTCCACTACAGTCCCATCACTCCACCTCCAGGCCTATATCTCGACCTCTGGGCCCAGATCTCCACTTCTAGGCCCATCACTCCATCTCTAGGCCCATATATCCACTCCAGGCCCAGATCTCCACTCCAGGCCCATAACTCCACCTCCAGGCCTATATCTCCACCTCTGGGCCCAGATCTCCATCCCCGCGCTCCCTCCCTCTATTGCTTTCCAGGACTCACCAACACACGCCATGCTGACGACCAAGAGCGACATGGTGCTGCCGGAGCAGACAGGCAGCCGCGACCGAGCTCAGCTCAGCAGCGCACAGGATGTTATTTGGCGCCCTGCCCATGCAGTTTACATGTTGACCACATCATGGGAGGGTGACGTACGCAGGCTCTTTCTACCTTGCATGAGGCCCAGTGGGTGCTCGCTCAAGAGCGGAACACGGCTTCCTGGAAATTGTTCTCGCTAGAATTTGACACCTAGTGTCCTTCACTATGACCAACTCAAAACACGTCTGAGATCCAACCTCCCGAACACGAGATGCCTAAAATCTGTGCTAACATGAAAGACTTTTCATGTATTTCTATTGTTTTTATCTGAGATTCAAACTCTTCTTCCTGTGTAATATGCAAAATATCTAATAGGTATTATTAATGTTTTCAGAGTCATTGTGACTAACAAACCATTAGAATTTTTCATGCTTGTATTTCTAGTATTACAGCAGAACCAGTTAAAATGATTTAAATTCCCAGGGAAGGATTATGCAATTATTTACAATCTTAGAATTGTACTTTATCAGTAAAAACCCCACCTGTAAATTCTGGAGTTTTGTAGTTTAATCTAAAATTTGTCTCATGACCCAAGATTCCAGAGTCCCAACTCTGGAGTTTGTTTTCCGTCTGTCTCTCTCCCTCCCTCATTTTAAATTTTACAGAAATATCCAGTAACATAATGCTATAGAAAATCAAGTTTCCCCAGCACGTTGGGAAGCCGAGGTGGGCGGATCAACTGAGATAAGGAGTTTGAGAGCAGCCTGGCCAATATAGTGAAACCGTGTCTCTGCTAAAAATCCAAAAATTAGCCGTGCCTGGTGGCAGGCACCTGTAACGCCAGCTACTCAAGAGGCTGAGGCACGAGAATCGCTTGAACCTGGGAGGCAGAAGTTGCAGTGAGCTGAGATTGTGTCACTGCAGTCCAGCCTGGGCGACAGAGCAAGACTCCGCCTCAAGAAAAAAAAGCAAATAGCCTATAATAACAAATTAGAGAGCTCTGGCTACTAAATTTAAAGGGTTCTATAAGGCTACATAAAGTGCAGCATCATCAAGAGTGTGGACACAGAGAGCCCCTTAGCAGAAACAGTGTCTAAAGTACATCCATGTACACACAGTCCCTTTAGAGTTGACAAAGGCTGCCGTGTGGTTTAAGGTGGCATAGAATGTCTTCTCAATAAATAATATTAAACCAATGGGTTATACCTAGGAAAAAATAAATCTAACTCACACTATAAAAACACTTCTTAGTTTTTATCTAGTTGTACATTTTTTATGATTTATATTTAAATTTGAGAAATAAAAGTCATATACGGTCATCCTTCACTATTCCTGGGTGATTGGTTTCGAGATCTCCACTCAGATACCAAAATCTGTAGATGCTCAAGCCTCTTAAATGAAATGGCACAGAGTTTGCAAATAACCTATGCACATCCTCCTCTATAGATGAAATCATCTCTAGATTACTTATAATTCCTGATGCAGCCTACACACAGCTTCATTTGTGTCCATTCAACACAGTTCTGCTTTTTGTAACTCTGTGGATACTTTCTCTGAATATTTTTGATTTATACTCGGTTCAATAAAGAACTGTAAACCCCACAGATATGGAGGAGTGACTGTATATTTATAGTGTGAAAGATGATGTGTTGATATGTGTCCCTGTGTAGATGAGACTAACAAGGCCTATGACTCTACAAATGTTTCATCTTGGAATGACTCTGCCAGATTTCCAGGTCTGCAGAGAGTAAGAATATCACTTGTTCATGTGATTCACGATCCTTGGAACCTCCTATGTGCTACATCTTTGGATGGAAATAGGAGTCCCAGAGACAAATGAGGCTCCACCCTGCTTCCAGAAACTCAGAGTCCGGGGGTGAGAACCCAGTGGAGAACAGATGGGGTTATGTGGACATGGTAATGATAACACTGGAAGTCTTAGGCAAGAAAAGAGTCCCATTACCGAAACCATGAGGGCAGACATGTTTATTTGAAGGAGGGAAAACTACATTGAAATTATTTTAAAAAATATATAAGTTTTACTGCTGACAGAAGGCTGAAAGATACTCTGAGGGGAGGTGGAACAGCATGAGGGAAGGTGGAACAGGACGTGTCTAAGTGCCGTGTTAAGAGGGAGCCTCTTGTATGTTTGGAACTGTGAGTTCCTCAGTGTGATTGCAGCCTCAAGTAGACTAGGAAGTAAGCCAGTAAGGTTGGAGAGGTGGGCAGGGGTCAAGTGAAATGGAGAATTGTGGGCTAAGCAAAGGAGTGTGTTTTCTCTCCAGCAGGCAGTGGGGACCTTAGACATTTGTAAGCAAGAGAGAGGCACATTCAGATTTGTGGTGTGAGGAAGAGCGATGCCCTAAGATGCAGACTCACGCCTTCAGATTCCAGCTGCTGGTACATGGGAGCTGGCAACCCGGTTTTGAGACAGGGCTATTGTCTCCCTAGAAGATCCCCTCAAGGCCTGACTGTGGTGCTCATGGGCAGGAGACAACGTTGGATCTGGACTCAGCATTTGGAAGTTCCGTGTACACTCTGGTATCTGTTGGGGGTGTCTTGGGCCTCTGAGAAGGGCGAGTGATTTTTCTCTGTGTGAAAACGCAGTGATCCAACTGTACGTATGTCACCTCCTGAGGGTCTTGTTCATCAGAGTCCTGGAGAGAGGGAAATCCTGAGTGAGGGAGGGTGCTCACATTTTCCAGGACTGTTTGGGAATAACACTAGCCACGAGGCTGGGCCGAGGAGCACCTACCTAGCTATTCGCTGTTCTGTTCCCTGCAGGCTCTTGGTCCATTACAGCAGCATGTGTAGGAGACGGAAGTCAACAAAAGAGCTCGGAGGGCACTTCTGGGTCCTCATTTCATAAGCAGATACCAACAAACAGGGGGAGGCCATAGGAGCCTGAGGTCCCTCAGTTGCCAACAGCAGACTCAGACATTCTATCTCTCTGAGCTCAAGGACCCATCCCATGAATAGCTCTGAGTTCCCATCCCATTGATTCTGTCTCCCACTTTCTGCCTGTCATGGAACCTTCTCCTGGATGTGAGTGGCTGCAGGGGACGTGAGGATACAGTTCAGAATCAGGCAACGGTCTGTGAGCTGAAGGCAGGGACAGGGAGTCTGGTGCCCTCTCTAGAAAGTCCTGCCTCTGTGGCTGCTGCCTTGGGCCAGGGACCATCCTACCTGTGAGGAACACACACCTGAGTGCTCCCATCCTGCTTCCCCACATGGCCCGGAGCTCTCTGGCCTCTCCTTCGTAAGACTTACTTTTCTTGTTGGAGCACCAGCGATGAAGGAGAAAGAAGAGGAGGAGGATGAAGAGGATGATGACCACTGAGGTCCCAATCAGAACGTGCAGGTGTCTTGGGTTACCTGGAAGAAGATGAGACACCAATAAGAAGCTAATCATAGCAGTTCCTTTTTATGAATTGTCTCGCATTTCTTGATTGACAGGTAACCACGTAATACACCTCTTTAGGACAAGCACCCAGATGGCGGGAGACCCAGCTTTCTCCTGCTTTCTCAGTTATAGCTCTCAAAGTAACCATAGAATGTGCTGAGGATACAACTACTTTAGTTGAGATGTTTGACCCCTTCAAACCTCACATTGAAATTTCACCCCCATTGTGGGAGGTTGGGCCTCTTGAGAGGTGTTTGGGTCATGGAGGTGGATCCATCATGAACAGATCAATGCTGTCCCAAGGAGACGGGGTTAGCAAGTTCCCCCTCTATTAGTTCCTGGAGAGCTGGTTGTTCAAAAGAACTTGGAAGCTCCATCACTCCCCCTCCCCCTTGCTCCCTCTCTTGCCGTGTGATCTCTGTGGTCTCTGCACAGACAGACCCTCCTTCCCTTCTGCCAGAGTGGGAGCAGCCTGAGGCCATCACGAGAAATAGATGCTGGTGCCATGCTTCCAGTACAGCCTGCAGAACGGTGAGACAAACCAATCTCTTTTCTTTAGAAGTTGCCCAGGCTCAAGTGTTCCTTTAGAGCAACAAAAATGGACTAAGACAGCAACGTCCTGAGATCAGGAGGAACGTCCCAGAGCAGCCTGGGCTGTCTTCCTGTTCTTCCTGGAGGAGGACGTCATGCAGTGCTTTAGCTGAGTGCTTCCTGTGGCTCCAGGGTACAAAACCCAGGCTGGGCTGCTTTCTGGCTTCCCCCAGCTACACTGCAAATGGGGTGACTCCATATGTCCCGAGCAGCTTTTCTGAGCCTTGAGGGACTGGCTCACATTGAAATGTAGGCTTCTGTTTTCACTCGCTGCTTATCTGTTAGTAATGAACCTGCCTATGTAACGTATTCTCTGTGTGTTCTGTCTCCCTGGAGTGACGGTGAGTGATAGGAATTGGCGTAGGCCCAGGTGCAGTCTAGGAGGTGTTTAGGGTCTTTTCTGGGAAGACTGCACTGGGATTGACACACAGCGAATGTGCTTTAGGATTTCTACATCCACAGCATTCTTGAGTCAAACAACTTGCGTTCTCCAAGGAAAGGAAACAAAAGTGA
Source organism: Homo sapiens (assembly GCF_000001405.40). NCBI lineage: Eukaryota > Metazoa > Chordata > Mammalia > Primates > Hominidae > Homo > Homo sapiens. The sequence goes on from NT_187636.1 coordinate 137,410, forward strand.
AATCAAGATAAAAAAGCGAAATAGAGTTATCTTATGTCCAACAGCCAGGAAATCGTGTTGAAGCCCCTGTGAAACGTCCTACTCTTTGTGATCTCGGGAGACACATGTTAGGCTGCTGTTCTACCTGAGAGGCTGGGGGAAGGACCACCCCCTCCACCATCTATTGCTTCAATACCACCTGTCCTCCTGTGAATTAGTAGGAAAGGGGAGCAGGAGCTAGTGCTGGTGCTGATCTCTCATTCCAAGATCTGGACTCACTCCAAGGAGTATTAATGTTTACCTCCCCATGGTCTATCTGAATCTCCACAGGTGATTGGAAGTAGGGGTGAAGTGGGGGATTTGAGTGAGACGGCAAGTTTTTTTTGTGATGAACAGAGCACTTTCTCTATTCCACGATCTGTGCTGGAGGATTCAGCGGGCTTTCACATTTTCTATATGGTCTCATGCTCACAGAAAGCCAAATACGGAAGAGGTTTTAGGCTCATTGCCTAATGGATAAGACAAAGGATCAAAGAAGTAATTATAGAGAAATACAAAAATGATGATTGGAATTCAGGTGCCTTTGTCATTCGTGTGTGTTTTATTATATTTATGCATTTCTTATTTTTATTTTTTGAGACGGAGTCTCCTTGTGTCACCCAGGCTGGAGTGCAGTGATGCAATCTCCACTCACTGCAACCTCCACCTCCTGGGTTGAAGTCATTCTCCTGCTTCATCCTCAAGAGTAGGAGCTGGGATTACAGGGATGCACCACCATGCTCGACTAATTTTTGTATTTTTCATAGAGACAGGGTTTCACCATTTTGGCCAGGCTGGTCTGGAACTCCTGACTTCAAGTGATCCACCCGCCTTGGCCTCCTGCAGTGCTGGGAATTGCCTTTTCCACGGCCTGAGCATGGGGCCGTGGCTGAATGAGTCAGTGAGTCGAAGTGTGCGTGCATGAGCTCCGTTCTCTGTTAAGGCAAAGCTCTTGCTCTGCTGAGTCAGCCAGGGTTGCTTCATGACCAACAGTAATTCATTCCTGGGCAAGTGGAACTTCTCTAAAACACCTCGCCCTCATCAAATGTTCCCTACCCTTCCCTCTCTCAAGCCCCCAGGAATTTATCCTCCAGTTAGGAATGCAGGCAGAACAAACATTGCATTTTTCCTGAGAAGGATGTCAGATTGCCAATCATTTTTCTAGCTTGTAGGAGATCTCAGCTCCATAAAATGAGAGATTAAGAGATTTCACTCAGCCCTGTTTTGGGTCCAGATCCCTTTCGCTGTTGGAGTATCTGGAGTTCGGAGATGGTAGAAGACAGGCGTACAATGTCAGAGCTGTGAGATGCTGAGTCAACGCCTGAATCCAAGGTTTCCACCTCCCCAGGTTTCCAAAAGCGGATATAAGAGGGTTCTGTACTCACCGGTTTCGGAGCTTGGTTCAGTGGGTGAAGGCCAACTATTTGAAGGGTTTCCTAGAACACGAGACAGGAGAGAGGTGAGGAAATGAGGGTGTCTGTCCTCTACTCAGTGGAAATCTTTGAGGTTGGTTCATGGCCAACACTCTGTTATCTAATATTGGGCCCTGGGAGTCCTGGGATCCTTTTTTCCGTAATTTTTGTATGTGACGGCTACTGTCTTGAGACTTCAAGGTATAAAGAGAAAACAGGAGCATCACACTACCTGATCTCAAAATATGTTGCAGAGCTGTAGTAAGCAAGACAGCATGACATTGGCATGAAGAAAGGCACATAGAACAACGGAGCAGAATGAATAACACAGATATAATCCATGCATTTACCTCCAATGTATTTTTTGTTTTTCTTTTGAGATGGAGTCTTGCTCTGTCACCCAGGCTGGAGTGCAGAGGTGCAATCTCGGTTCACTGCCACCACAGCCTCCTGGGTTCAATCACTTCTCTGGCCTCAAACTCCTGAGTAGTGGTATTACAGGTGCTGACCACCATGCTCAGCTAATTTTTATATTTTTAGTGGAGACGATGTTTCATCACGTCGGCCAGAGTAATCTTGTACTCCTGTCCTCAGGTGATCCACCAGCCTTGGCCTCCCAAAGTGCTGAAGTTGCTGGTGTTAGCCACCATGCCCAGCCCATCCAATGGACTTTGACAAAGGTGCCAAGAACTCACAATCAGGAAAGGACAGTCTTTTCAATAAACAGTGCAGGGAAACCTGGACATCTACATGCAGAGGAATGAAACTGCACCTCTGCCTGTCACTATACACAAAAATCAAATGAAAATGGATTAAAGATGTGAGTCTAAGGCCTGAACCTATGAAACACGTAGAAGAAAATATTGGGGAAATGCTCCAGGACGTTTGTCTGAGGGAAGACATTTTGTTTTAAACCTTGAAAACACAAGTAATCGAAGCAAAAATAGACCATTGGGATTACCTCAAACTAAGCAACTTCTGCACTGCTAAAAATAAACCAACAAAGTGAAGAGACAACCCACAGATTGGGAGCAAATATGTGCAAACTATGCATCTGAGATGGGATTAATAACTAGAAATATAAGAAGCTCAAACAACTCAATAAAACAAATGATTTAATTGAAACAGGAGCAAAAGACATGAAATTTCCCCACATACTAAAAAGTGCTCAGTATCACTCATCATCAGAGAAACGCAAATTAAAATCAAAGTGAGTTTTCATCTCACCCCATTAAAATGGCTTTTAGGCCGGGTGAGGTGGCTCACGTCTGTCATCCTAGAACTTTGAGAGCCTGAGGTGGGTGAATCTCATAAGGTCGGGAGTTTGAGACCAGTCTGACCCACATGGAGAAACACTGTCTCTACTAAAAATACAAAAATTAGTCGGGCGTGGTGGCGTGTGCCTGTAATTCCAGCTACTCGGGAGGCTGAGGCAGGAGAATCGCTTGAACCTGGGAGGTGGAGGTTGCGGTGAGCCGAGATCGCACCACTGCACTCAGCCTGGGTGACAAGAGCGAAACTCCATCTCAAAATAAAATGAAATAAAATAAAATGGCTTTTAGCTGCAAGACAGGCAAAAGAAATGCTGGCAAGGTGTTAGAGAAAGGAGAATCCTGGTATCCTGTTGGGAGGAGTGTAAATTAGTACAGCCATTACGGAGAAAAGTGTGGAAGTCCTTTAAAGAACTAAAAAGAGGTTGGGTGAGGTGGATCAGGCCTGTAATCCCGGCACTTTGGGAGACCGAGGCGGGCACCTCAGTTGAGGTCATGAGTTTGAGAGCAGCCCAGCCAACATGGGGAAACCGCATCTATACTAAAAAAAACAAAAAGTAGCCAGGCATGGTGGCGTGCGCCTATAATCCCTGATACTAGGGAGGCTGAGGCAGGAAAATCATTTGAACCCAGGAGGCAGAGGTTGCAATGAGCCAAGATCATATCACTTGTACTCCAGCCTGGCACAGAGGGAAACTGTCTCAAAAACAAAAACAAAACAACAAACGAAAAACTAAAAAGAGAACTTTCATAGTATCCAGCAATTTCACTACTGGGTTTATATCCAAAGGAAAGTAAATCAATATATCGAAGTGATATCTGCACTCGTATGATTGGTGCAGCACTCTTCACAGTAGCCAAGATGTGGAGTCAACCTACCTGCCCATCAGTGGGTGAATGGATAGAGAGAATGTGGTACATTTGCATAGTGGAGACTACTCTTCCATAGAAAGAATAACATCCTGATATTTGCAGCCACATGGATGGAACTGGAGGTCATTACAAAGATTCCCATTTCTTACCCATATACAGGAGCTAAAAGGTGGATCTCATGAAGGTAGAGAGTAGAATGGTGGCTACCAGAGGCCAGGAAGAAAAGGGTGGAGGGTAAAAAAAAATATATGTGTATATATATATATATTAATGTATTTATGACCACTAGACTTTACACTTAAAAATGGTAAATGTGGCTGGGCGTGGTGGCTCATGCCTGTAATCCCAGCACTTTGGGAGGCTGATGCGGGTGGATCACGTGGTCAGGAGTTCGAGACCAGCTTGACCAACATGGTGAAACCCCCTCTCTACTAAAAATACAAAAAGTAGCCTGGCATGGTGGTGCGCGCCTGTAGCACCAGCTACTCAGGTGGCTGAGGCAAGAGAATCGCTTGAACCCAGGAGGCGGAAGTTGCAGTGAGCTGAGATTGTGCCAATGCACTCCAGCATAGGGGACAGAGCTAGACTCCGCCTCAAAAAAAAAAATGTTAAAGGTGGTAAGCTATATAGTTATATTTATCCTCAATAAATATTTCTCAAACAAAAGTAAACGGTGTAGGGGTTGCAGGTGATGACATCCCTGTGTGGGTGGGAGGCCAGGATGGGCTTCTGGGAAATGGGTAATGTTGAGGGGCTGAGGGAACCTCTGATCTTCCCAAACTGAGCCCAGTCTCCCTCCTCTGGGTCTCTCCTGACCGCTTTCTCCATCTGCCTGGGTGCCTGGAGTCCTGGCCGCAGGCCTTCATGCAGGCCATGTAGGAGGGTTTGGAGGTGCCCTGTCTGCCATCCTGTGCCCTGATCCCTCCCTCACACCCAAGCTTCGTCTTCTCTCTGCATCTGTTCATCCTTCTCTCCATCCTCAGCAGGAAGCTCCTCAGCTAAGGCTCTAGGATCATAGGACATGGGACAGCCATGGGCTTTCCTCACCTGTGACAGAAACAAGCAGTGGGTCACTCGAGTTTGACCACTCGTAGGGAGAGTCACGGAAAGAGCCGAAGCATCTGTAGGTTCCTCCGTGGGTGGCAGGGCCCAGAGGAAAGTCAGCCTGGAATGTTCCGTTGACCTTGGGCCCTGCAGAGAACCTACGTTCATGGGCCTCCCCCTCCGTGGATAGATGGTACATGTCATAGGAGCTCCGGGAGCTGCAGGACAAGGTCACGCTCTCTCCTGCCAGAACCGTGGGGCCCGGCTGGGCTGAGAGAGAAGGTTTCTCATATAGACCTGGAAGGAGAAGAGGCATTTTCCTTACGGAGGCTCTTCCTTGTCACAGCTCCCTTCACCTGAGCTGAGAACTCACTCCCCTGCTCTATGACCTAATGCTCTCTCTCTCTCTCTCTCACCCTCCACCCCATCTCTCTTCATGTCTATTTCCTCCTTCCACCTTCTCTGTCTCTCTAGGTCTCTGACCTCGCTTCCACACCTCTAGATATGTTTTCCCTTTTTGGATTGTTTTATTCTCTCTGACTCTCCTTGGATTGGTTCACTTGATGTTACTTTTTTAAATTCTAAGTTTCTCACTTTGTGTCCTGTTCATAACTTTCTGCATATTTCTATCTATTATCTGTCGATCTATCTATTTATCTATTCGGTGCCTATCTACAAATTCTCTACCTGTCATCTATATCTATATATCATCTATGTATCTATCACTTGTCTATCTATCCATCAATCATCTGTTATCTATATCTATGTATCATCTCTCTCTCTATGACTTCTGTCTGCCTCTCTATCTCTATGTATTATCTATCTGTCTTCATCATCATCATCTCTATGTCTCATCTATTAATGAATCAATCAATCATCATCTATGTATCTTTAACCTATTATCTATCATCTACCTATTTATCATCTATCTATATCTAACCATCTATCATCTGTCTTGCTCTGCCTCTCGGTCTCTCTAGTTCTCTTTGGAATCTCTGCAATTCATCCCCACATCTCCATCTTTCTATGTCCTTGTGCCTCTCCCTCAGGACTCTAATTTTAGTGCTTTTCTCTGCTCCCTTCCATCATTCTCACCACTCCTCTGCCCTCTTTTCTCTCTCTTTATGTGTCTGTGAGTCTCTCAATCTCCTTCCTCTGGCTCATTCTCTGTGTGTTTATGTCTTTGCTTTTTGGTGTCCCTGATTTCTCTCTGTGCCTCTCAGTGATCCTTTCATATGTGGGGTTATTTGGAATGTGAGCCTCAGAATCCAGTCTGGAGACCACAAGTTCACACAGCATACAGGGGTTGGTGTTCTGGGGCCATGATATCCTGGGACGGTTACTCTCCATTACATGGAAGGCAGAGGTGTGAGAATAAACACGGCATCTGTAGGTGCCACAAGGCCTGAGGCCACAGGGCCCAACTCAGGTCAGAAATATGGGTGTCCTTGGGTTCTCCTGGTAGAGAACACTTTGTGGAGGTAAAACAGAAATGAAACTTCTAACCTGTGCCAGGTCTCTGAGCAAAGTCAGCATGGAGGGACACCTCTCTCTGGGACATGTCTGTCTGTCTGTCTCCTTTAACTCCTTCTGTCTTTTCTAACTCCCGGTATGGCCCCTGTGTCTGTCCTCTGTTATGACACCTGGTCTGTACTTGTGTCTCCTGTTTCTCTGTCTCTGTTGGTACAGACCTCACCAAGTCAGTCTCTCTCCATAAGAATACCAAGCTCATCTTCCTTACAACTACCTGGGGGTTCCAAGTCGTGGATCATTCACTCTGCATCCCAATGACAATGAGAAGAATGTCCGGACACTCTCACCTGTGATGACGATGTCCAGAGGGTCACTGGGAGCTGACAACTGATGGGGGAGTGAGTAACAGAACCGTAGCATCTGTAGGTCCCTGCCAGGTCTTCCATCATGGGACCGATGGAGAAGTTGGCCTTGGAGACCCCATCATGGTGCTCTCCAGTGAGGTGCAAAGTGTCGTTAAATGTCCCCTCTCTGTGCAGAAGGAAGTGCTCAAACCTGACATCTGACCAACATTGCAGGATGACTGTCTCTTCTGATTTCACCAGGGGACCTGGGTGGGCCAGGAGGGAAGGTTTTCTGTGGACTCCTAGGAAGAGAGGTTGTGAGTTTAGAAGGTGTCTCTCTTTATCATCCCATCCATGGCACCTAGAATGAGTGAGGCTTCCCCTTGCTGGTGTCTGTCTCTCTCCTTCCTCTCTGTGTCTTCATGTTCTTTTCTGTGCCCATAACTCCTGGTGCAGGTCCTTCCATCTGTCTCCCTCCCTCTTCTCTGTCTCTCTGTCTCTAGTCGCCTCTGATTCCCTTCCCACTGGGCTTAGCCTCATCTCTTGGGGTGTTGTATCTATTTCACACTAATGTCTTTCCTGCTGTTTATGTGGGGGTGAAAGAGGAACCAGGATAGGCTGCACATCCAGCCTCTTATCAGCCTGGTTCAATCTCTTTTGGATGAATTGGAATCCTTGGCAGGAGGTATGAACTGATGAATAAGGCAGGCAGCAGTGTCCACACACCCTGTTCCTGGTCGGGACTGGGAGCCACTCTTGCCATGCCTGTGCCTTCTCCATGGTGCCAGCTTCCATAGGCTGGCTCCTGGTGCTGGTTTGAGGAGTATCAACCCCTCCCTATGTGGATGGAGCCTGGTGGTGGCATCATCATCCCACACTTGCTGATCTAGGTGTAGCCAACCTTCCCCTTGTTTGGTTCCTTTAATTAATTAATTAATTATGGAGATCAGAGTCTCACTCCTTCACCCCAGCTGGAGTGAAGTGGTGTGGTCTAGGGTCACTGCAACTTCTGTCTCCTGGGTTCAAGTGATTCTCCTGCCCTCAGCCTCCCAAGTCGCTAGGATTACATGCGCCTGCCACCACACCCGGCTATCCTTGTGTTGTTTCTTAACTTGTCCTTGACCTGGGTTCCAGTGTTGGTTTCCTGTTGCTGCTGTAGAAAATTATCAGCAGCATGGCAGCAGGAGAGAGCACACTGACCCATTTCACTACTGGAGACAGAAATAGGACCCTGTTTTTCCTGGGCTAAAATCAAGGCATCTGCAGGGCTTCGTTCCCTCTGGAGACTCTGGAGAATCATTTCCTTGACTTTTCCAGCCTCTACAGGCCACCTGCATTCATGGCTCCTGGACTTCCTCCACCTTCAAAGCTGGTGGAGTCTCCCATTGCGCTGCTCTAATCCCCACTCCCCTCTTCCTCCTCCTTTCATGTGGACCCTTGTGATTACACTGAGCCCAGCGGGACAGTCCAGGCTGTCTCCCCATCTCAAGGTCAACTCATCAACAACCTGAGCTCCATCTTCCCCTTCAGTTCCTTCCCCTATAACATAAATAGTCACAGACTCCAGGGATTAGAATGTAGTCATCACTGGGGACAATTATTCTTCCCACCACAGCACCCATTTCCCTGTATTCAATCCCCCTTTACCCCAAATATAGTCAGGGCCTGGGTGATGGGACCCTCAAGGACACGCCCACCAGAAGCTCTGGGATTCAGGAGGTGGGAAAGGAGAATCCAAGACAGGAGCCCTCTGACCTGTGGCCATGATCACCAGGGGGTTGCTGGGTGCCGACCACCCACTGGGGGAGTGTGGGTGTGAACCCCGACATCTGTACGTCCCTGTGTGTGCTGGGGTCACAGGGCCCATGAAAAGGCTCTTCCAGAATATTCTGTTGTAGAGCTCAGTGCCAGGCACCCCATCTTCCTTTTACAGACTGAAGTTGTTAAACCCAAGATAAGAATGACACCGAAGAATCACATGTCCTGGAGGCACCACAGAGCTGGGCCAGGCAGACAGCAAGGGCTTGTCCTGACCACCTTGGGGAGAAGGAGGCACCGCCTTAGAGAGGAGGATGTGGAGCCACCCCTCCCTCCCTGTGCTCTGAAGATTCTCCTCGCTTTCCAAGTTTCTATGGCTGCTATCACACCTTGGTGCCCAGGGCTAAAGGAAGGACCCATCCCGCAAACACAAGGTGTCTCCCTACAACAAAAGTGTCAGCTGAGAACTTTGAGCAAGTGCTGAGTAAGAGACTCCTACTAGATTTTAATACTGTAAGATTACTCACATAAAACAACACAGGGTAGACATGGGGTGGAGGGCATGTCCTTTGAGAATGGAATATCAGCCGATGCCTGAATGAAAATAAGCAACTGAGCCCCCATCAGAGGATTTGGAATGTCAGGGCCATGGCTGTGGTTTCCCACCTCTTCTGGTGGAGTGACAGCAGCCACACTGCAGCCCCTACCGTCATGGAAACGCTGAAGTGTGAGTAACACCTTTGTCCTCAGAGGATCTGCTGTTCCTACCACTTCCCCACCACACACCCCAGCTTTGAGCACCCCAGTCTAACCCTGGTCCCCACAGAACTTGACTCTGCCAAGGGAATGAAAGGCCAGGGAGGCGAGGTCGGAACTGTGGGCTGAGCACCCCAGGGTCCCCTCTTCCTAGTTTATGAGAGGCTCCCCGACAGGACTTCCCTCCTGTTTCAGGAAAATCCTCTTATGTGGGGAGATGACACCCGAAGGTTTGGAGAAGGACTCACCCTCATGTGGCCAGGCCCCCTGCAGCAAGAAGAACCCTGGAAAGAAAGATCATGATGGACCATCCATCTGCAGGCGAACCAGCCCTCCCTTGCTGCCCTCACTGGGCTGTGAGTCTTGGTAGGCAGGCCCTTCCTGGGCTGAAGTTAAACTCACCCTCAGTGCCTACCTGCACCCAAGAACAGGGCTGTCGGCTGTGCAGAGACCCAGCCTCCAAGCCCAGATCCCCACCACAAGCCCATATCCCCACCAGAAGCCCATATCTCCACTCCAGGCCAATATTTCCACCCTAGGCCTGTATCTCCACTCCAGGCCCATATCTCCACTCCAGGCCGATATTTCCATCATAGGCCCATATCGCCAATCCAGGCCCATATCGCCAATCCAGGCCAAGATCTTCACTGTAAGCCCATATCTCCAATCCAGGCCCATATCTCCACTCCAGGCTCAGATCTCCACCCTAGGCCCATATCTCCAATCCAGGCCCATATCTCCACACCAGGCCCATATCTCTACTGAAGGCCAGTAACTCCACCTCCAGGCCCATATCTCCACTCCAGGCCCAGATCTCCACCCCAAGCCCATATCTCCACCCCAGGCCCATATCTCTACTGAAGGCCCGTAACTCCACCTCCAGGCCCATATCTCCACCCCAGGCCCAGATCTCCACCCCAAGCCCATATCTCCACTCTAGGCCCATATCTCCTCTCCAGTCCCATATCTCCACAACCAGGCCCATATCTCCATCCTAGGCCCATATTTCCACTCTAGGCCCAGATATCCACCTCTAGGCCCATATCTCCACTCCTGGCCCAAATCTCCACTCCAGGCCCATATCTCTACTATAGGCCTATAACTCCACCTCCAGGCCCATATCTCCACTCCAGGCTCCTATCTCCCCTCCAGGTTCCTATCGGCACTCCAGGCCCAGATCTCCACTTCTAGGCCCATCACTCCATCTCTAGGCCCATATATCCACTCCAGGCCCAGATCTCCACTCCAGGCCCACAACTCCACCTCCAGGCCTATATCTCCACCTCTGGGCCCAGATCTCCAACCCCACACTCCCTTCCTCTATTCCCTTCCAGGACTCACCAACACACGCCATGCTGACGACCGTGAGCGACATGGTGCTGCCGGTGCAGACAGGCGGCCGCGCCCCAGCTCAGCTCAGCAGCGCACAGGATGTTATTTGGCGCCCTGCCCATGCAGTTTACATGTTGACCACATCATGGGAGGGTGACGTACGCAGGCTCATTCTACCTTGCATGAGGCCCAGTGGGTGCTCGCTCAAGAGCGGAACACGGCTTCCTGGAAATTGTTCTCACTAGAATTTACACCTAGCGTCCTTCACTATGACCAACTCAAAACACGTCTCAGATCCAACCTCCTGAACACGAGATGCCTAAAATCTGTGCTAACGTGAAAGACTTTTCATGTATTTTTATTGTTTTTATCTGAGATTCAAACTCTTCTTCATGTGTAATATGCAAAATATCTAATAGGTATTATTAAGGTTTTCAGAGTCATTGTGACTAATAAACCATTAGAATTTTTCATGCTTGTATTTCTAGTATTACAGCAGAACCAGTTAAAATGATTTAAATTCCCAGGGAAGGATTATGCAATTATTTACAATCTTTGAATTGTACGTTATCAGCAAAAACCACACATTTAAACTCTGGATTTTTGTAGATTTATCTAAAATTTGTCTCATGACCCAAGTTTCCAGAGTCCCAACTCTGGAGTTTGTTCTCTCTCTGTCTCTCTGCCTCCCTCATTTTAAATTTTACAGAAATATCCAGTAACATAATGCTATAGAAAATCAAGTTTCCCCCAGCACGTCGGGAAGCCGAGGTGGGCGGATCAACTGATATAAGGAGTTTGAGAGCAGCCTGGCAACACAGTGAAACCGTGTCTCTGCTAAAAATCCAAAAATTAGCCGTGCCCAGTGGCAGGAACTTGTAACGCCAGCTACCCAAGAGGCTGAGGCACGAGAATCGCTTGAACCTGGGAGGCGGAGGTTGCAGTGAGCTGAGATTGCACCACTGCAGTCCAGCCTGGGCGACAGAGCAAGACTCCGCCTCAAGAAAATAAAAATAGCAAATAGCCTATAATAACAAATTAGAGGCCTCTGGCTACTAAATTTAAAGGGTTCTATGGGGCTACATAAAGTGGAGCATCCTCAAGAATGTGGACACAGAGAGCCGTTTAGCAGAGACAGTGTCTAAAATACACATCCGTGTACACACAGTCCCTTTTTAGTTGACAAAGCTGCCGTGTGGTTTAAGGTGGCATAGAATGTCTTCTCAATAAATAATATTAAACCAAAGGGTTACACATAGGAAATAATAAATCTAAACTTATTCTCACACTATAAAAACACTTCTTAGTTTTTATCTAGTTATTGTACATTTTTTATGATTTATATTTAAATTTGAGAAATAAAAGTCCTATACCGTCATCCTTCACTATTCATGGGTGATTGGTTTCGAGATCTCCACTCAGATACTAAAATCTGCAGATGCTCAAGCCTCTTACGTAAAATGACACAGCATTTGGATATAACCCATGCACATCCTCCTGTATACATGAAATCATCTCTTGATTACTTATAATTCCTGATACAGCCTATACACCACCTCATTTGTGTGCATTCAACACAGTTTTGCTTTTTGGAACTTTGTGGGCTTTTTCTCTGAATATTTTTGATTTATACTTGGTTCAATAAACACCTGTAAACCCCACAGATACGGAGGAGCGACTGTATATTTATAGTATGAAAGATGATGCGTTGACATGTGTCCCCGTGGAGATGAGACTAACAAGGCCTATGACTCTACAAATGTTTCATCATGGAATGACTCTGCCAGCTTTCCAGGTCTGCAGAGAGTAAGAATATCACTTGTTCATGTGATTCACGATCCTTGGAACTTCCTATGTGCTGCATCTTTGGATGGAAATTGGAGTCTCAGAGACAAGTCAGGGTCCACCCTGTTCCAGAAGCTCAGAGTCCAGGGGTGAGAACCCAGTGGAGAACAGATGGGGTTATGTGGACATGGTAATGATAACACCGGAAGCCTTAGGAAAGAAAAGAGTCCCATTACCGAAACGATGAGGGCAGACATGTTTATTTGAAGGAGGGAAAACTACATTGAAATTACTAAAAACAATTTATAAGTTTTACTGCTGACAGAAGGCTGAAAGATAGTCTGAGGGGAGGTGGAACTGCATGAGGGAAGGTGGAACAGCACGTGTCTAAGTGCCGTGTTAAGAGGGAGCCTCTTGTATGTTTGGAATTGTGAGTTCCTCAGTGTGATTGCAGCCTCAAGTAGACTAGGAAGTAAGCCAGTTAGGTTGGAGAGGTGGGCAGGGGTCAAGTGAAATGGAGAATTGTGGGCTAAGCAAAGGAGTGTGTTTTCTCTGCAGCAGGCAGTGGGGACCTTAGACATTTGTAAGCAAGAGAGAGGCATGTTCAGATTCGTGGTGTGAGGAAGAGCGATGCCCTAAGATGAAGACTGATGCCTTCAGATTCCAGCTGCTGGTACATGGGAGCTGGCAACCCGGTTTTGAGACAGGGCTGTTGTCTCCCTAGAAGATCCCCTCAAGGCCTGACTGTGGTGCTCGTGGACAGAAGACAGCTTTGGATCTGGACTCAGCATTTGGAAGTTCTATGTACATGCTGCTATCTGTTGGGGGTGTCTTGGGCCTCTGAGAAGGGGGAGTGATTTTTCTCTGTGTGAAAACACAGTGATCCAATTATGCGTATGACACCTCCTGATGGTCCTGTTCATCAGAATCCTGGAGAGAGGGAAATGCTGAGTGAGGGAGGGTGCTCACATTTTTCAGGACTCTTTGGGAATAAGACTAGCCACGAGGCTGGGCCGAGGAGCACCTACCTCCCTGTTCACTGTTCTGTTCCCCGCAGGCCCTTGGTCCATTACAGATGCATCTGTAGAAGATGGAAGTCAACAAAACAGCTCGGAGGGCACTTCTGGGTCCTCATTTCATAAGCAGATACCAACAAACAGGGGGAGGCCATAGGTGCCTGAGGTCCCTCAGTTGCCAACAGCAGACTCAGACATTCTATCTCTCTGAGCTCAAGGACCCATCCCATGAATAGCTCTGAGTTCCCATCCCATTGATTCTATCTCCCACTTTCTGCCTGTCATGGAACCTTCTCCTGGATGTGAGTGGCTGCAGGGGACGTGAGGGTACAGTTCAGAATCAGGCAATGGTCTGTGAGCTGAAGGCAGGGGCAGGGAGTCTGGTGCTCTCTCTAGAAAGTCCTGCCTCTGTGGCTCCTGTCTTGGGCCAGGGACCATCCTGCCTGTGAGGAACACACACCCACGTGCTAACATCCTGCTTCCCCACATGGCCCTGAGCTCTCTGGCCTCTGCTTCGTGAGACTTACTTTTTTTGTCGGAGCACCAGCGATGAAGGAGAAAGAAGAGGAGGATGGTGAAAGGGAGTTTGACCACTGAGGTCCCAATCAGAACGTGTAGGTGTCTGGGGTTACCTGGAAGAAGAGGAGACACCAATAAGAAGCTAATCATAGCAGTTCCTCTTTATGAATTGTCTCGCATTTCTTGATTGACAGGTAACCACATACAACGTCTCTTTAGGACAAGCACCCAAATGGTGGGAGACCTAGCTTTCCCCTGCTTTCTCAGTTATAGCTCTCATAGTAACCATAGAACGTGCTGAGGATACAACTACTTTAGTTGAGATGTCTGACCCCTTCAAACCTCACATGGAAATTTCACCCCCAGTGTGGGAGGTTGGGCCTCTTGGGAGGTGTTTGGGTCATGGAGGTGGATCCATCATGAACAGAACAATGCTGTCCCAAGGAGACGGGGTTAGCAAGTTCCCCCTCTATTAGTTCCTGGAGAGCTGGTTGTTCAAAAGAGCTTGGAAGCTCCATCGCTCCCCCTCCCCCTTACTCTCTCTCTTGCCGTGTGATCTCTGCGGTCTCTGCACAGACAGACCCTCCTTCCCTTCTGCCAGAGTGGGAGCAGCCTGAGGCCGTCACAAGAAATAGATTCTGGTACCATGCTTCCAGTACAGCCTGCAGAACGGTGAGGCAAACCGATCTCTTTTCTTTAGAAGTTACCGAGGCTCAAGTTTTCCTTTAGAGCAACAAAAAAAAACTACGACAGCAACGTACTGAGATCAGGAGGAATGTCTCAGAACAGCCTGGGCTGTCTTCCTGTTCTTCCTGGAGGAAGGCGTCATGCAGTGCTTTAGCTGAGTGCTTCCTGTGGCTCCAGGGTACAAAACCCAGGCTGGGCTGCTTTCTGGCTTCCCCCAGCTACACTGCAAATGGGGTGACTCCATATGTCCCGAGCAGCTTTTCTGAGCCTTGAGGGACTGGCTCACATTGAAATGTAGGCTTCTGTTGTCACTCGCTGCTTATCTGTTAGTAATGAACCTGCCTGTGTAATGTATTCTCTGTGTGTTCTGTCTCCCTGGAGTGACGGTGAGTGATAGGAATTGGCATAGGCCCAGGTGCAGTCCAGGAGGTGTTTAGAGTCTTCTCTGGGAAGACTGCACTGGGATTGATACACAGCGAATGTGCTTTAGGATTTCTACATCCAGGGCATTCTTGAGTCAAACAACTTGCATTCTCCAAGAAAAGGAAACAAAAGTGAAATCAAGATAAAAAAAGCGAAGTAGAATTCTCTTATGTCAAATGGCCAGGAAACAGTGTTGAAGCCCATGTGAAACGTGCTACTCTTTGTGATCTCCGGAGACACATGTTAGGCTGCTGTTCTACCCCAGAGGCTGGGGGAAGGACCACCCCCTCGGCCATCTATTGCTTCAATACCACCTGTCCTCCTGTGAATTAGTAGGAAAGGGGAGCAGGAGCTAGTGCTGACGCTGATCTCTGATTCCAAGATCTGGACTCACTCCAAGGAGTATTAGAATTTACCTCCCCATGGTCTATCTGAATCTCCACAGATGATTGGAAGTAGGGGTGAGGTGGGGGATTTGGGTGAGAGGGCATGTTTTTTTTGTGATGAACAGAGCACTTTGTGTATTCCAGGATCTGTGCTGGAGGATTCAGCGGGCTTTCACATTTTCTATATGATCTCATGCTCACAGAAAGCCAAATAGGGAAGAGGTTTTAGGCTCATTGCCTAATGGATAAGATAAAAGATCAAAGAAGTAATTATAGAGAAATAGAAAAATCATGATTGGAATTCAGGTCCCTTTGTCATTTGCGTGTGTTATATTATATTTATATTTATGCATTTCTTATTTTTATTTTTTGAGACGGAGTCTCCTTGTGTCACCCAGGCTGGAGTGCAGTGATGCAATCTCCACTCACTGCAACCTCCACCTCCTGGGTTGAAGTCATTCTCCTGCTTCATCCTCCAGAGTAGGAGCTGGGATTACAGGGATGCACCACCATGCTCGGCTAATTTTTGTGTTTTTCCTAGAGACAGGGTTTCACCAGGTTGGCCAGGCTGGTCTCGAACTGCTGACTTCATGTGATCCACCCTCCTTGGCCTCCTGCAGTGCTGGGTTACAGGCGTGAGCCACCGTTCACAGACTTGTATATTATGCTATAATAGGTCCCTTCATTTCCACCACCACTCATATATCTGTCACTCCTTTGCCAGGTATTGATTTATGTGTAGTAGGAATAAAGCTCAGAAAGAAATTAAGCGAGGATTAGACAACTAGGAAAATCATACCCAGCAAGCCTTTCCAGCCAATGATTCCACCTCACAAGCATAGCTTATATCCATCTGCTTCACCCAGTTAGGGTCTAAATCAGCACCACATTTCACCAGTGAGGCGGGAATTGCCTTTTCCACAGTCTCCTAGATTCTAGTTACGCACCTGGGCCTCCCTTATTTTCATGTCAGTCATATTAATCATGTAGGGATTCCTGGTTACCCCGAGGTGAATCCAATGGCTGTGAGTGTCAAACACACACTCCTTGTTGCTCCTTAGTTTCCTGTGTACCCAGTGTGCTCTCCGTCTCTCCACAGTCGTCTTGTCATTCTCCCCACGTCATTCCCAGCATTTGAGGAAGAGCCTCTTCCTTCAACATCAGATTATTTTCACCTTTGTGCGTTCACGGCTGACAGCTGTGTGTGGAAAATCCTTCCACCAATCTTTCAGGGGTTCAATCCGTGTTTTTCATTAATGTCACAAATATCTGATTAGTGAGATCTTCTCTGTCACCCAAAATCATACACTCAGCATTATGTATTATTTATTTTAAATTCTGGCTGGGCACAGTGGCTCACGCCAGTTATCCCAGTACTTTAGGATGCTGAGACGGTCGGATCACTTGAGGTTGGGAGTTTCAGAGAAGCTTGGCGAAGATGGTGAAACATCCTCTACAAAAAATATACAAAAAGAATTAGCCGGGCATGGTGGCAGTTGCCTGTAATCCCAGCTACTTGAGAGGCTGACGCAGGAGAATCACTTGGATCCAGAAGGTGCAGGTTGCAGTGAGCCAAGATGGTGACACTGCACTGTAGCCTGGAAGACAGAGGGCGACTCTGTCTCAATAAACAAATGAAGAAACAAACAAATAGATTTCATACACAGATGCTTCCCAATGGATCATTCATTTATTGGTCCACTTGTGCATTCATTTTCTGCCCTCCCATTTAACCATCTGCAATATCAGTGTCCCAAGAGCAGAGGCCAAATGCATCTTGTTCACTGTTTGTGGAAGGTAGGAGAATGCTGTCCCACCCCAAAATGTCCCTGTCCTAGCCTCCATAGCTTGTGAATATCTTATTTTACATGGAAAGGAGGAATGAAGATTGCAGATGGAATTATGGTTGCTAATCAGCTGAACTTAAAACAAGGGTATCCTGAATGATTTCCGGGAGATTATGATGGATTTTCATCTTGGTGAACCCAATAGAATCCCCAAGTTTTCAAAAGATGAGGAAGAAGGGAGAGCAGCATTCAGAGAAAGAGGTGTGGTAAGGAAGAAGGGTCTGAGTGATGCCATGTGAGATGTGACCAGCCTTTGTGGGCTTTGAGGAAGGAGGAAGGGGACCAGGAGCGAAGGAATGTGGGAGCCTCTAGAAGCTGAGAAAAGTGAGAAGCAGATTCTTGCCTGGAATCCTCAGAGGGAAGGCAGCCTTGCTGTCACCTTGATTTTAGCCCAGTGAGATGCACTTCATACTTTGAGCTACAGCACTGCAAGATAATTAAAAAACCGTTTTGTTTTCACCCACGAATCTTGTGGAAATTTGTTATGGCAACAATAGGAAAAGCTTCCACACTGCACAGCCTGAGCATGGGGCCGTGGCTGAATGAGTCAGTGAGTCGAAGTGTGCGTGCATGAGCTCTGTTCTCTGTTACAGCAAGGCTCTTTCTCTGCTGAGTCAGCCAGGGTTGCTTCATGACCTATAGGAGCTCATTCCTTGGCAAGTGGAACTTCTCTAAAACACCTCGCCCTCATCAGATGTTCCCTTCCCTTCCCTCTCTCAAGTCTCCAGGAATTTATCCTCCAGTTAGGAATGCAGGCAGAACAAACATTGCATTTTTCCTGAGAAGGATGTCAGATTGGCAATCATTCTTCTAGCTTGTAGGAGGTCTCAGCTCCATAAAATGAGAGATGAAGAGATTTCACTGAGCCCTGTGTTGGGCCCAGATCCCTTTCGCTGTAGGAGTATCTGGAGTTCGGAGATGGTGGAAGACAGGGGTACAATGTCAGAGCTGTGAGATGCTGAGTCAACGCCTGAATCCAAGGTTTCCACCTCCCCAGGTTTCCAAAAGCGGATATAAGAGGGTTCTGTACTCACCGGTTTTGGAGCTTGGTTCAGTGGGTGAAGGCCAACTATTTGAAGGGTTTCCTAGAATATGAGACAGGAGAGAGGTGAGGAAATGAGGGTGTCTGTCCTCTACTCAGTGGAAATCTTTGAGGATGGTTCATGGCCAACACTCTGTTATCTAATATTGGGCCCTGGGAGTCCTGGGATCCTTTTTTCCATAATTTTTGTATGTGACGCCCACTGTCTTGAGACTTCAAGGTATAAAGAGAAAACAGGAGCATCACACTACCTGATCTCAAAATATGTTACAGAGCTGTAGTAAGCAAAACAGCATGACATTGGCATAAAGAAAGGCACATAGAACAATGGAGCAGAATGAATAACACAGATATATTCCATGCATTTACATCCAATGGTTTTTTATTTTTTCTTTTGAGATGGAGTCTTGCTCTGTCACTCAGGCTGGAGTGCAGAGGTGCAATCTCAGTTCACTGCAACCTCAGCCTCCTGGGTTCAATCATTCTCTTGCCTCAAACTCCTGAGTAGTGGTATTACAGGTGCTGACCACCATGCTCAGCTAATTTTTATATTTTTAGTGGAGACGATGTTTCATCACGTCGGCCAGACTGATCTTGAACTCCTGGCCTCAGGTAATCCACCCGCCTCGGCCTCCCAAAGTGCTGGAATTGCAGGTGTGAGCCACCAAGCCCAGCCCATCCAATGGACTTTGACAAAGGTGCCAAGAACTCACAATCAGGAAAGGACAGTCTTTTCAATAAACAGTGCAGGGAAACCTGGACATCTACATGCAGAGGAATGAAACTGCACCTCTACCTGTCACCATACACAAAAATCAAATGAAAATGGATTAAAGATGTGAGTCTAAGGCCTGAACCTATGAAACACGTAGAAGAAATATTGGGGAAATGCTCCAGGACGTTTGTCTGAAGGAAGACATTTTGTTTTAAACCTTGAAAACACAAGTAATCGAAGCAAAAATAGACCATTGGGATTACCTCAAACTAAGCAACTTCTGCACTGCTAAAAATAAACCAACAAAGTGAAGAGACAACCCACAGATTGGGAGCAAATATGTGCAAACTATGCATCTGAGATGGGATTAATAACTAGAAATATAAGAAGCTCAAACAACTCAATAAAACAAATGATTTAATTGAAAAAGGAGCAAAAGACATGAAATTTCCCCACATATGAAAAAGTGCTCAGTATCACTCATCATCAGAGAAATGCAAATTAAAATCAAAGTGAGTTTTCATCTCACCCCATTAAAATGGCTTTTAGGCCGGGTGAGGTGGCTCACGTCTGTCATCCTAGAACTTTGAGAGCCTGAGGTGGGTGAATCTCATAAGGTCGGGAGTTTGAGACCAGTATGACCCACATAGAGAAACGCTGTCTCTACTAAAAATACAAAAATTAGTCGGGCGTGGTGGCGTGTGCCTGTAATTCCAGCTACTCGGGAGGCTGAGGCAGGAGAATCGCTTGAACCTGGGAGGTGGAGGTTGTGGTGAGCCGAGATAGCGCCACTGCACTCCAGCCTGGGTGAGAAGAGCAAAACTCCATCTCAAAATAAAATGAAATAAATAAAATGGCTTTTAGCTGCAAGACAGGCAAAAGAAATGCTGGCAAAGTGCTAGAGAAAGGAGAACCCTGGTACCCTGTTGGGAGGAGTGTAAATTAGTACAGCGATTACGGAGAAAAGTATGGAAGTCCTTTAAAGAACTAAAAAGAGGTTGGGTGTGGTGGATCAGGCCTGTAATCCCGGCACTTTGGGAGACTGAGGCGGGCACCTCAGTTGAGGTCATGAGTTTGAGAGCAGCCCAGCCAACATGGGGAAACCGCATCTATACTAAAAAAACCAAAAAGTAGCCAGGCATGGTGGCGTGCACCTGTAATCCCAGCTACTAGGGAGGCTGAGGCAGGAAAATCATTGGAACCCAGGAGGCGGAGGTTGCAATGAGCCAAGGTCGCACCACTTTGACTCCAGCTTGGGCTAAGGAGGGAAACTCTTTCTCAAAAAAGAAAAAAAAAAAAAAGAGAACTTTCATAGTATCCAGCAATTTCACTACTGGGTTTATATCCAAAGGAAAGTAAATCAATATATCGAAGTGATATCTGCACTCGTATGATTGGTGCAGCACTGTTCACAGTAGCCAAGATGAGGAGTCAACCTACCTGCCCATCAGTGGGTGAATGGATAGAGAGAATGTAGTACATACGCACAGTGGAGACTACTCATCCATAGAAAGAATAACATCCTGTCATTTGCAGCCACATGGATGGAACTGGAGGTCATTACAAAGATTCCCATTTCTCACCCATATACAGGAGCTAAAAGGTGGATCTCATGAAGGTAGAGAGTAGAATGGTGGCTACTGGAGGGCAGGAAGAAAAGGGTGGAGGGTAAAAAAAATGTATATATATATATATATATAAATGTATTTATGACCACTAGACTTTACACTTAAAAATGGTAAATGTGGCTGGGCGTGGTGGCTCATGCCTGTAATCCCAGCACTTTGGGAGGCAGATGCGGGTGGATCACGTGGTCAGGAGTTGCAGACCAGCTCGACCAACATGGTGAAACCACCTCTCTACTAAAAATACAAAAAGTAGCCTGGCGTGGTGGTGCGCACCTGTAGCACCAGCTACTCAGGTGGCTGAGGCAGGAGAATCGCTTGAACCCAGGAGGCGGAAGTTGCAGTGAGCTGAGATTGTGCCACTGCACTCCAGCATAGGGGACAGAGCTAGACTCTGCCTCAAAAAAAAAAAAATGTTAAAGGTGGTAAGCTATATAGGTATATTTATCCTCAATAAATATTTCTTCAAACAAAAGTAAAGGGTGTAGGGGTTGCTGGTGATGACATCTCTGTGTGGGTGAGAGGCCAGGATGGGCTTCTGGGAAATGGGTAAGGTTGAGGGGCTGAGGGAACCTCTGATCTCCCCAAACTGAGCCCAGTCTCCCTCCTCTGGGTCTCTCCTGACCGCTTTCTCCATCTGCCTGGGTGCCTGGAGCCCTGGCTGCGGGCCTCCATGCAGGCCATGTAGGAGGGTTTGGAGGTGCCCTGTCGGCCATCCTGTGCCCTGATCCCTCCCTCACACCGAGGATGCATCTTCTCTCTGCATCTGTCCATGCTTCTCTCCATCCTCAGCAGGAAGCTCCTCAGCTAAGGCTCTAGGATCATAGGACATGGGACAGCCATGGGCTTTCCTCACCTGTGACAGAAACAAGCAGTGGGTCACTTGACTTTGACCACTCGTAGGGAGAGTCATGGAAAGAGCCGAAGCATCTGTAGGTTCCTCCTTGGGTGGCAGGGCCCAGAGGAAAGTCGGCCTGGAATGTTCCGTTGACCTTGGGCCCTGCAGAGAACCTACGTTCATGGGCCTCCCCCTCCGTGGATAGATGGTACATGTCATAGGAGCTCCAGGAGCTGCAGGACAAGGTCACGCTCTCTCCTGCCAGAACCGTGGGGCCCGGCTGGGCTGAGAGAGAAGGTTTCTCATATAGACCTGGAAGGAGAAGAGGCATTTTCCTTATGGAGGATCTTCCTTGTCACAGCTCCCTTCACCTGAGCTGAGAACTCACTCCCCTGCTCTATGACCTAATGCTCTCTCTCTCTCTCTCTCACCCTCCACCCCATCTCTCTTCATGTCTATTTCCTCCTTCCACCTTCTCTGTCTCTCTAGGTCTCTGACCTCGCTTCCCCACCTCTAGATATGTTTTCCGTTTTTGGATTGTTTTATTCTCTCTGACTCTCCTTGGATTGGTTGACTTGATGTTACTTTTTTAAATTCTAAGTTTCTCACTTTGTGTCCTGTTCATAACTTTCTGCATATTTCTATCTATTATCTGTTGATCTATCTATTTATCTATTCGGTGCCTATCTACAAATTCTCTACTTGTCATCTATATCTATATATCATCTATGTATCTATCACTTGTCTATCTATCCATCAATCATCTGTTATCTATATCTATGTATCATCTCTCTCTCTATGACTTCTGTCTGCCTCTCTATCTCTATGTATTATCTATCTGTCTTCATCATCATCTCTACGTCTCATCTATTAATGAATCAATCAATCATCATCTATGTATCTATAACCTAGTATCTATCATCTACCTATTTATCATCTATCTATATCTATCCATCTATCATCTGTCTTGCTCTGCCTCTCGGTCTCTCTAGTTCTCTTTGGAATCTCTGCAATTCATCCCCACATCTCCATCTTTCTATGTCCTTGTGCCTCTCCCTCAGGACTCTAATTTTAGTGCTTTTCTCTGCTCCCTTCCATCATTCTCACCACTCCTCTGCCCTCTTTTCTCTCTCTTTATGTGTCTGTGAGTCTCTCAATCTCCTTCCTCTGGCCCATTCTCTGTGTGTTTATGTCTTTGCTTTTTGGTGTTCCTGATTTTTCTCTGTGCCTCTCAGTGATCCTTTCATATGTGGGGTTATTTGGAATGTGAGCCTCAGAATCCAGTCTGGAGACTACAAGTTCACACAGCATACAGGGGTTGGTGTTCTGGGGCCATGATATCCTGGGACGATTACTCTCCATTACTTGGAAGGCAGAGGTGTCAGAATAAACACGGCATCTGTAGGTGCCAGAAGGCCTGAGGCCACAGGGCCCAACTCAGGTCAGAAATATGGGTGTCCTTGGGTTCTCCTGGTAGAGAACACTTTGTGGAGGTAAAACAGAAATGAAACTTGTAATCTGTGCCAGGTCTCTGAGCAAAGTCAGCATGGAGGGACACCTCTCTCTGGGACATGTCTGTCTGTCTGTCTCCTTTAACTCCTTCTGTCTTTTCTAACTCTCGGAATGGCCCCTGTGTCTGTCCTCTGTTATGACACCTGGTCTGTACTTGTGTCTCCTGTTTCTCTGTCTCTGTTGGTACAGACCTCACCAAGTCAGTCTCTCTCCATAAGAATACCAAGCTCATCTTCCTTACAACCACCTGGGCCTCCAAGTCCTGGATCATTCACTCTGTGTCCGAATGACAATGAGAAGAATGTCTGGACACTCTCACCTGTGATCACGATGTCCAGAGGGTCACTGGGAGCTGAAAACTGATAGGGGGAGTGAGGAACAGAACCGTAGCATCTGTAGGTCCCTGCCAGGTCTTGCCTCATGCGACCGATGGAGAAGTTGGCCTTGGAGACCCCATCAATGTGCTCTCCAATGAGGCGCAAAGTGTCGTTAAACGTCCCCTCTCTGTGCAGAAGGAAGTGCTCAAACATGACATCTGACCAACATTGCAGGATGACTGTCTCTTCTGATTTCACCAGGCGACCTGGGTGGGCCAGGAGGGAAGGTTTTCTGCGGAATCCTAGGAAGAGAGTTTGTGAATTTAGAAGGTGTCTCTCTTTATCATCCCATCCATGGCACCTGGATTGAGTGAGGCTTCCCCTCCCTGGTGTCTGTCTCTCTCCTTCCTCTCTGTGTCTTCATGTTCTTTTCTGTGCCCATAACTCCTGGTGCAGGTCCTTCCATCTGTCTCCCTCCCTCTTCTCTGTCCCTCTGTCTCTAGTAACCTCTGATTGCCTTGCCGCTGGGCTCAGCCTCATCTCTTCGGCTGTTGTATCTATTTTGAACTAATGTCTTTCCTGCTGTCTATGTGGGGGTGGAAGAGGAACCAGGATAGGCTGCACATCCAGGCTCTTAGCAGCCTGGTTCAATCTCTTTTGGACGAATTGGAATCCTTGGCAGGAGGTATGAACTGAACAGTAAGGCAGGCACCAGTGTCCACACACCCTTTTCCTGGTGGGGACTGGGAGCCACTCTTGCCATGCCTGTACCAGCTTCCATAGCCTGGCTCCTGGTGCTGGTTGGAGGAGTATCAACCGCTCCCTATGTGGATGGAGCCTGGTGGTGGCATCATAATCCCACACTTGCTGATCTTGGTGTAGCCAACCTTCTCCTTGTTTGGTTTCTTTAATTAATTAATTTTGGAGACAGAGTCTCACTCCTTTGCCCAGGCTGGAGTGAAGTGGTGTGGTCTAGGCTCACTGCAACCTCTGTCTCCTGGGTTCAAGTGATTCTCCTGCCCTCAGCCTCCCAAGTCGCTAGGATTACATGCACCTGCCACCACGCCCGGCTATCCTTGTGTCCTTTCTTAACTTTTCCTCGAGCTGGGTTCCGGTGTTGGTTTCCTGTTGCTGCTGTAGAAAATTATCAGCAGCATGGCAGCAGGAGAGAGCACACTGACCCCTTCCATTTTTGGAGGCAGAAGTCGGGCCCTGTTTTTCCTGGGCTAAAATCAAGGCACCTGCAGGGCTTCGTTCCCTCTGGAGACTCAGGAGAATCAGTTCCTTGACTTTTCCAGCCTCTATAGGCCACCTGCATTCATGGCTCCTGGCCTTCCTCCACCTTCAAAGCTGATGGAGACTCCCATTATGCTGCTCTAATCCCCACTCTCCTCTTCCTCCTCCTTTCATGTGGACCCTTGTGACTACACTGAGCCCAGGGGGACAGTCCAGGCCTTCTCCCATCTCAAGGTCAACTCATCAACAACCTGAGCTCCATCTTCCCCTTCAGTCCCTTCCCCTATAACATAAATAGTCACAGACTCCAGGGATTAGAATGTAGTCATCACTGGGGACAATTATTCTTCTCACCACAGTACCCATTTCCCTGTATTCAATCCCCCTTTACCCCAAATACAGTCAGGGCCTGCGTGAAGGGACCCTCAAGGACATGCCTACCGGAAGCTCTGGGATTCAGGAGGTGGGACAAGGAGAATCCCAGACAGGAGCCCTCTGACCTGTGACCATGATCAGCAGGGGGTTGCTGGGTGCCGACCACCCACTGGGGGAGTGTGGGTGTGAACCCCGGCATCTATAGGTCCCTGTGTGTGACGGGGTCACAGGGCCCATGAAAAGGCTTTTCCAGAATATTCTGTTGTAGTGTTCAGGGACAGGCACCCCATCATCCTTGTACAGACTGAAGTTGTTAAACCCAAGATTAGAGTGACACCGAAGAGTCACATGTTCTGGAGGCACCACAAGGCTGGGCCAGGTAGAAAGCAAGGGCTTGTCCTGACCACCTTGGGGAGAAGGAGGCGCCACCTTAGAGAGGAGGATGTGCAGCCGCCCCTCCCTCCCTGTGCTCAGAAGATTCTCCCCACTTTCCACATTTCTATGGCTGCTATCACACCTTGGTGCCTAGGGCTAAAGGAAGGACTCATCCCACAAAGACAAGGTGTCTCCCTACAACAAAAATGTCAGCTGAGAACTTTGAGCAAGTGCTGAGTAAGAGACTCCTACTAGATTTTAATACTGTAAGATTACTCACATAAAACAACACAGGGTAGACATGGGGTGGAGGGCATGTCCTTTGAGAATGGAATATCAGCAGATGCCTGAATGAAAATAAACAACTGAGCCCCCATCAGAGGATTTGGAATGTCAGGGCCATGGCTGTGGTTTCCCACCTCTTCTGGTAGAATGAGAGCAGCCACACTGCAGCCCCTACCATCATGGAAACGCTGAAGTGTGTGAGTAACACCTTTGTCCTCAGAGGATCTGCTGTTCCTACCACTTCCCCACCACACAACCCAGCTTTGAGCACCCTAGTGTAACCCTGGTCCCCACAGAACTTGACTCTGCCAAGGAAATGAAAGGCTGGGGAGGCGAGGTCGGAACTGTGGGCCAAGCACCCCAGGGTCCCCTCTTTCTAGTTTAAGAGAGACTCCCCGACAGGACTTCCCTCCCGTTTCAGGAAAATCCTCTTATGTGGGGAGATGACACCTTAAGGTTTGGAGAAGGACTTACCCTCATGTGGCCAGGCCCCCTGCAGCCAGAAGAACCCTGGAAAGAAAGACCATGATGGACCATCCATCTGCAGGCAAACCAGGCCTCCCTTGCTATCCCCACTAGGCTGTGAGTCTTGGTAGCCAGGCCCTTCCTGGGCCGAAGGGAAACTCACCCTCAGTGCCTACCTGCACCCAAGAACAGGGCTCTCGGCTGTGCAGAGACCCAGCCTCCAGGCCCATATCCCCACCCCAAGCCCATATCTCCACTCCAGGCACATATCTCCACTCCAGGCTGATATTCCCACCCTAGGCCCATATAGCCAATCTGGGCCCACATCTGCAATCCAGGCTCAGATCTCCACCCCAGGCCCATAACTCCAGTCCAGGCCCATATCTCCACTCCAGGCCCATATCTCCTCTCCAGGCCCATATCTCCACTCCAGGCCCATATCTCCACCCCGGGCCCAGATCTCCACCTCCAGGCCCATAACTACATTCCAGGATCATATCTCCACTCCAAGCCCATATCTCCACAACAGGCCCATATCTCCACTCCAGTCCCATATCTCCACCCCACGCCCATATCTCCATTCCAGGCCCATATCTCCACTCCAGGCCCATATCTTCACCACACGCCCATATCTCCACTCCAGGCCCATATCTCCACCCCACGCCCATATCTCCACTCCAGTCCCATATCTCCACTCCACGCCCATATCTCCACTCCAGTCCCATATCTCCACCCCATGCCCATATCTGCACTCCAGTCCCATATCTCCACCCCACACCCATATCTCCACTTCAGTCCCATATCTCCACTCAAGGCCCATATCTCCACCCCACGCCCATATCTCCGCTCCAGGCCCATATCTCCACTCCAGGCCCATATCTCCAACCTCCAGGCCCATATCTCCACTCCAGGCCCATATCTCCATCTCCAGGCTCATATCTCCACTCTAGGCCCATATCTCCACTCCAGGCCCTTATGTCCACCTCCAGGCCCATATCTGCACTCCAGACCCACATCTCCACTCCAGGCCCATATCTGCACTCCAGGCCCCTATCTCCACTCCAGGGCCATATCTCCACTCCAGGCTCATATCTCCACTCCAGGCCCATATCTCCAATCCAGGCCCAGATCTCCACTCCAGGCCCAGATCTCCACCTCCAGGCCCATATCTCCACTCTAGGCCCATATCTCCACTCCAGGCTCATATCTCCACTCCAGGTCCATATCTCCACCTCCAGGCCCATATCTCCACTCCAGGCCCATAACTCCACCTCCAGGCCTATATCTCCACCTCTGGGCCCAGATCTCCATCCCCGCGCTCCCTCCCTCTATTCCCTTCCAGGACTCACCAACACATGCCATGCTGATGACCATGAGCGACATGGTGGTGCCGGAGCAGACAGGCGGCCGCACCCCTAGCTCAGCTCAGCAGCGCACAGGATGTTATTTGGCTCCCTGCCCATGCAGTTTACATGTTGACCACATCATGGGAGGGTGACGTACGCAGGCTCTTTCTACCTTTCATGAGGCCCAGTGGGTGCTCGCTCAAGAGCAGAACACGGCTTCCTGGAAATTGTTCTCACTAGAATTGACACCTCGTGTCCTTCACTATGACCAACTCAAAACACGTCTCAGATCCAACCTCCGGAACACAGGATGCCTAAAATCTGTGCTAACGTGAAAAACTTTTCATGTATTTTTATTGTTTTTATCTGAGATTCAAACTCTTCTTCATGTGTAATATGCAAAATATCTAATAGGTATTATTAATGTTTTCAGAGTCATTGTGACTAATAAACCATTAGAATTTTTCATGCTTGTATTTCTAGTATTACAGCAGAACCAGTTAAAATGATTTAAATTCCCAGGGAAGGATTATGCAATTATTTACAATCTTCGAATTGTACTTTATCAGCAAAAACCACACATGTAAATTCTGGATTTTTATAGTTTTATCTATAATTTGTCTCATGACCCAAGATTCCAGAGTCCCAACTCTGGAGTTTGCTCTCTCTCTGTCTCTGTCCCTCCCTCATTTTAAATTTTACAGAAATATCCAGTAACATAATGCTATAGAAAATCAAGTTTCCCCCAGCATGTTGGGAAGCCGCGGTGGGCGAATCAACTGAGATGAGGAGTTTGAGAGCAGCCTGGCCAACATAGTGAAACCGTGTCTCTGCTAAACATTCAAAAATTAGCCGTGCCTGGTGGCAGACACCTGTAATGCCAGCTACTCAAGAGGCTGAGGCACGAGAATCGCTTGAACCTGGGAGGCGGAGTTTGCAGTGAGCTGAGATTGCACTACTACAGTCCAGCCTGGGTGACAGAGCAAGATTCCGCCTTAAGAAAAAAAAAATAGCAAGTAGCCTATAATAACAAATTAGAGGGCTCTGGCTACTAAATTTAAAGGGTTCTATAAGGCTACATGAAGTGCAGCATCCTCAAGAGTGTGGACACAGAGAGCCCCTTAGCAGAAACAGTGTCTAAAATACATCCGTGTACACACAGTCCCTTTAGAGTTGACAAAGGCTGCCCTGTGGTTTAAGGTGGCATAGAATGTCTTCTCAATAAATAATATTAAACCAAAGGGTTACACGTAGGAAAAAATAAATCTAAACTTATTCTCACACTATAAAAACACTTCTTGTTTTTATCTAGTTTATAATTTTTTTATGATTTATATTTAAAATTGAGAAATAACAGTTTTATACGGTCATCCTTCACTATTCCTGGGTGATTGGTTTCAGGATCTCCACTCAGATACCAAAATCTGCAGATGCTCAAGCCTCTTACATGAAATGGCACAGCATTTGCATATAACCCATGCACATCCTCCTGTGTACATGAAATCATCTCTAGATTACTTATAATTCCTGATATGGCCTACACACTGCTTCATTTGTGTCCCTTCAACATAGTTTTGCTTTTTGAAAGTTTGTGGATTTTCTTCTCTGAATATTTTTTATTTATAGTTGGTTCAATAAACACCTGTAAACCCCACAGATACGGAGGAGCGACTGTATATATATATATAGCATGAAAGATGATGTGTTGATATGTGTCCCCATGGAGATGAGACTAACAAGGCCTATGACTCTACAAATGTTTCATCGTGGAATGACTCTGCCAGCTTTCCAGGTCTGCAGAGAGTAAGAATATCACTTGTTCATGTGATTCATGATCCTTGGAACCTCCTATGTGCTGCATCTTTGGATGGAAATTGGAGTCCCAGAGACAAATGAGGCTCCACCCTGCTTCCAGAAGCTCAGAGTCCAGGGGAGAGAACCCAGTGGATAACAGATGGGGTTATGTGGACATGGTAATGATAACAGCGGTTTCTTTCAGCGAATAGTGTCACATTACCTAAAGCAATGAGGGCAGACATGTTTATTTGAAAAGGAGACAGCTACATTGAAATCACAAAAAATTTTATAAGTTTCACTGCTGACTGACAGAAGGCTGGAAAATAGTCTGAGGAAAGGTGAAACAGCATGAGGGAAGGTGGAACAGCACGTGTCTCAGTGCCATGTTAAGAGGGAGCCTCTTGTATGTCTGGAATTGTGAGTTCCTCAGTGTGATTGCAGCCTCAAGTAGACTAGGAAGTAAGCCAGTTCAGTTGGAGAGGTGGGCAGGGGTCAAGTGAAATAGAGAATTGTGGGCTAAGCAAAGGTGTGTGTCTTCTCTCCAGCAGGCAGTGGGGACCTTAGACATTTGTAAGCAAGAGAGAGGCATGTTCAGATTTGTGGTGTGAGGAAGAGCGATCCCCTAAGATGAAGACTGATGCCTTCAGATTCCAGCTGCTGGTACATGGGAGCTAGCAACCCGGTTTTGAGACAGGGCTGTTGTCTCCCTAGAAGATCCCCTCAAGGCCTGACTGTGGTGCTTATGGGCAGGAGACAATGATCTTGGCTTAGCATTTGGAAGTTCCATGTACATGGTGGTATCTGTTGGAGGTGTCTTGGGCCTCTGAGAAGGGGAAGTGATTTTTGTCTGTGTGAAAACGCAGTGATCCAACTGTGCATATGTCACCTCCTGAGGGTCTTGATCATCAGAGTCCTGGAGAGAGGGAAATGCTGAGTGAGGGAGGGTGCTCACATTCTTCAAGACTATTAGGGAATGAGACTCAATCCATGAGGCTGGGCTGAGGAGAACCTACCTCCCTGTTCACTGTTCTGTCCCCGGCAGGCTCTTGGTCCATTACAGCAGCATCTGTAGGAGATAGAAGTCATCAAAACAGCTGGAAGGGCACTTTTGGGTCCTCATTTCATGAGCAGACACCAACACACAGCGGGAGGCCGTAGGTGCCTGAGGTCCCTCAGCTGTCATCAGCCAGACCCAGACATTCTATCTCTCTGAGCTCAAGGACCCATCCCATGAATAGCTCTGAGTTCCCATCCCAGTGATTCTGTCTCCCCTTTCTGCCTGTCATGGAACCTTCTCCTGGATGTCAGTGGCTGCAGGGGACGTGAGGATACAGTTCAGAATCAGGCAATGGTCTGTGAGCTGAAGGCAGGGGCAGGGTGTCTGGTGCTCTCTCTAGAAAGCCCTGCCTCTGTGGCTCCTGCCTTGGTCCAGGGACCATCCTGCCAGTCAGGAACACACACCAGTGTGCTCCCATCCTGCTTCCCCACATGGTCCTGAGCTCTCTGACCTCTGCTTCGTGAGACTTACTCTTTTTGTTGGAGCAGCAGCAATGAAGGAGAAAGAAGAAGAGGATGATGAAGAGGATGATAGCCACTGAGGTCCCAATCAGAATGTGCAGGTGTCTGCGGATACCTGGGGGAAGGTGGGAATCCAATAAGAAGCTAATTATAGCAGTTCCTCTTTATGGATTGTCTCTCATTTCTTGGTTGCCAGCTAAGCACATACAACATCTGTTTAGGACAAGTTCCCCGATGGCAGGATACCCAGCTTTCTCCTGCTTTCTCAGTTATAGTTCTCAAAATAATCAGAGAACATGCTGGGGATACCACTGCTATAGTTTGAATGTTTGACCCCGCCAAACCTCACGTTGACACTTATCTCGCAGTGTGGGAGGCTGGGCCTATTGAGAGACGTTCCAGTTATGGGGGTGGATCCATCATGAATACATTAATGCTGTCCCCATGAGACGTGGTTGGCAAGTTCTCCATGAGGTCCCTAGGACTGGTTGCTAAAAAGAGCATGGGGTTTCTCCATGTTGGCCAGGCTGGTCTCAAACTCCTGACCTCAAGTGATCCAAACGCCTTGGCCTCCCAAAGTGTTGGGTTACAGGCGTAAGCTCCCATTCACAGACTTGTATATTATGCTATAATAAGTCCCTTCATTTGCACCACCCCTCATCTATCTATCACTCCTCTGCCAGATATTGATTTACATGTAGGAAAAATAAATCTCAGAAAGAAATTAATATATTCAAAATTAAATAAGTAGGCATTATCAAATCCAGCAAGACCTCCCTACAAATGATTCTACCTCACAGACATATCTTATACCCATCTACTTCATTCATTTAGTGTCTAAATCAGCACCACATTTCACCAGTGGGGCGGGAATTGCCTTTTCCACGGTCTCCTAGATTCCAGTTACGCACTTGGGCGTCCCTTATTTTCATGTCAGTCATATTAATCATGTAGGGATTCCTGGTTACCCCGAGGTGAATCCAATGGCTGTGAGTGTCAAACACACGCTCCTTGTTGCTCCTTAGTTTCCTGTGTACCCAGTGTGCTCTCCGTCTCCCTACAGTCATCTTGTCATTCTCCCCACGTCATTCCCAGCATTTGAATGCAGAGCCTCTTCCTTCCACATCAGATTGTTTTCACATTTGTGCCTTCACGGCTGACAGCTGTGTGTGGAAAATCCTTCCGCCCATCTTCCAGGGGTTGAATCTACTTTTTTTTTTCATTATGGTCACAAATATTATCTGATTAGTGAGACTTTCTCTGTCTCCTGAAATTATACACTTAGAATTCTTTATTATTTATTTTAAATTTCGGCTGGGCGCAGTGGCTCACGCCTTGAGTCCCAGCATTTTGGGATGCTGAGACGGTCGGATCACTTGAGGTTGGGAGTTGGAGACAATCTGCGCAACATGGTGAAACTCCATCTCTACTAAAAAATATAAAAGAAAATTAGCTGGGTGTGGTGGAGGGGACTGGAATCACAACTAGTCAGGAGGCTGAGGCAGGAGAATCGCCTGAACCCGGGAGGCGGAGGTTGTGGTGAGCTGAGGTCATGCCACTGCACTCCAGCCCGGGGACAGAGAATGACTTCGCCGCAAATAAATAAATACATAAATAGATAAATAGATAAATAAATAGGTAAATAGATTTCATGCACGGATGCTTCCCAATGGATCAATCATTACTGGTCCACTTGTGCATTCATATTCTGCCCTCCCATTTGCCCATCTGCAATGTCAGTGTCCTAAGAGCAGAGGCCAAATGCATCGTGTTTACCATTTGTGGAAGGCAGGAGAATGCTGGCCCACCCCCAAAATGTCCCTGTCCTAGCCTCCATAGCTTGTGAATATGTTATTTTACATGAAAGGAGGAATAAAGATTGCAGATGGAATTATGGTTGCTAATCAGCTGAACTTAAAAAGAGGTTATCTTGGGTGATTTTAGGGAGATTGTGATGGATTATCTTGGTAAACTCAATAGAATCCCAAAGTCTTTAAAAGAGGAAGAAAAAGTCAGAGCAACACTTAGAGAAAGAGGTGAGGTAAGGAAGAGGGATCTGAGTGATGCCACGTGAGAGATGTGACGAGCTTTTGTGGACTTCGAGGAAGGAGGATGGGGACCAGATGCCAAGGAACGTGGGAACCTCTGGGAGCTGGGAAATGTGAAAAGCCGATTCTCGCCTGGAACCTTCAGAGAAAAGGCAGCCTCGCAGTCACCTTGATTTTAGCCCAGTGAAATGCATTTCATATTTCTGAGCTATAACACTGTAAGATAATTTTAAAAGCTGTGTTGTTGTCATCCATGAAGTTTGTGGAGATTTATTATGGCAACAGCAGGAAAGGGTTCCACACTGTACAGTCAGAGCACAGGGCAGTGGCTGAATAAGTGAGTGAGTGGAAGTGTCATATTCGTGGATGAACTACGTTCCTTCTTACTGCAAGGCTCTTGCTCTGCTGACTCAGCCAAGGTCGCATCATGACCAACAGGGGCTCATTCCTTGGCAAGTGGAACTTCTCTAAATCACCTTTCCCTCATCAGATGTTCCCTTCCCCTCCCTCTCTCAAGTCCCCTCGAATTTATCCTCCAATTTGGAATGCAGGCAGAAAAAACACCACATTATCCCTGAGAAGGATGTCAGATTTGTACTCGTCCGTCTAGCTTGGAGGAGGTCTCAGCTGCAGAAATTTGAAATGAAGAGACTTCACTGAGCCCTTTGCTGTCCTCAGATACCCTTCGCTGTTGTAGTGTCTGGGGGTCAGAGATGTTAGAAGACAGGCCCACAATCACAGAGCTGGGAGGTGCTGAGCCAATGCTTGAATCCAAGATACCAACCTCCCCAGGTTTCCAAAAGCAGAGATAAGAGGGATCTTTACTCACCAGTTTTGGAGCTTGGTTCAGTGGGTGAAGATGAACTACTTGAAGAGTTTCCTAGAACACAGGACAGGAGAGAGGTGAGGAAATGAGGATGCCTGTCTTCTACTCAAAGGAAATCTTTGAGGTTGGTTCATGGCCAACACTCTGTTATCTAATGTTGGGCCCTAGGAGTCCTGGCGTCCCCTTCTCCATCATCATTGTTAAATGATGCCCAGTGTCCTGAGATTTCGAGGTATAAAGACAAAACAGGTGCTGGAGGCCTCACACTCCCTGACTTAAAAATATGTTACAAAGCTGTAGTAAGCACAACAGCATGACATTGGCATAAAGGCCCTTAGAGCAATGGAGCAGAATGAAGAACACAGATATAATTCATGCATTCACATCCAATGGACTTTGACGATTGTAGGTGCCAAGAACCTGCAATCAGGAAACGACGGTCTTTTCAATAAATGGAGCAGGGAAAACTGGTATCTACATGCAGTTGATGAAACTGCACCTCTACCTCTCACCATACACAGAAATCAAATGAAAATGGAAGAAACACTTAAGGCCTGAAACCATTAAGCGTCTAAAAGGAAAGAGTGGGGAAATGCTCCAGGACATTTGTCTGAGGAAAGACATTTTATTTGAAATCTCAAAAACACAAGAAATCAAAACAAAATAATAGACCTTCGGGATTACATCAAAGTAAGCAGCTTCTGCACCGCAAAGGAAGCAACCAACAAAGTGAAGAAGAGACAAATTGGGAGAAAATATTTGTGAAGTATGCATCTGAGAGGGGATTAATAACTAGAATATACATAAAACTCAAGCAACGGTATAAAACAATGAATTTAATTTAACAATTAGTAAAAGACCTGAACAGACATTTCTCAACAAACAAAACGTACAAATGGCGAACATGTACATGAAAAAGTGCTCAGTATCACTAATCATGCCAATTGAAATCACAGTGAGCTATCATCTCATCCCATTAAAGTGGCTTTTATCTGAAACACAGACAAAATGAATGCTGGCAAGGTGGTAGAGAAAGGAGAACCCTGGTACCCTGTTGATAGGATCTAGCAATTCCACTACTGGGTGTAAACCCAAAGGGAAGGACATCAGTGTATCGAAGTGATATCTGCACTCATACGATTGGTGCAGCACTGTTCACAGTAGCCAAGATGTGGAGTCAACTTACCTGCCCGTCAGTGGGTGAATGGATAGAGAGAATGTAGTACACACACACAGTGGAGAGTACTCATCCGTAGAAAGAATAACATCCTGACATTTGCAGCCACATGGATGGAACTGGAGGTCATTGCAAAGATTCCCATTTCTCACCCATATACAGGAGCTAAAAGGTGGATCTCATGAAGGTAGAGAGTAGAATGGTGGCTACCAGAGGGCAGGAAGTAAAGGGTGGAGTGTAACAACAACAATAAAAAAGAATATAGATGTATTTATTTATTTAGAGACAGAATCTCTCTCTGTCTCCCAGGCTGCAGTGCAGTGGCCTGATCTCAGCTCAGTGCAACCTCTGCCTCCTGGGCTTACGTACTTCTCCTGCCTCAGCCTCCCATGTAGCTAGGAATACAGGTGCATGCCAGCATGCCCAGCCAATTTTTCTTGTCTGTTTAGTAAAGATGAATTTCCCTCATGTTGGCCAGGCTGATCTCGAGCCTCTGATCTTAAATGATCCACCTTCCTTGGCCTCTCAAAGCACCGAGATTATAACTGTGAGCCACTGCACCCTGCATATAAAGGAATTTATGACCACTAGATTTTACTTTTAAAAATGGTAAAGGTGGCAAATTATATAGTTACATTTAACCTCAATAAATGTTTTTTCAAACGGAAAGAAAAGGGTGTAGGGGTTGCTGGTGATGACATCTCTGTGTGGGTGAGAGGCCAGTATGGGCTTCTGGGAAATGGGTAAGGTTGAGGGTCTGAGGAGCCTCTGATCTCCCCAAACTGAGCCGAGTCTCCCTCCTCTGGGTCTGTCCTGACCACTTTCTCCATCTGCCTGGGTGCCTGGAGCCCTGGCCGCGGGCCTCCATGCAGGCCGTGCAGGAGGGTTTGGAGGTGCCCTGTCTGCCATCCTGTGCCCTGATCCCTCCCTCACACCATGCTGCGTGTTCTCTCTGCATCTGTCCATGCTTCTCTCCATCATCAGCAGGAAGCTCCTCAGCTAAGGCTCTAGGATCACAGGACATGGGACAGGCATGGGCTTTCCTCACCTGTGACAGAAACAAGCAGTGGGTCACTCGGGTCTGACCACTCATAGGGTGAGTCATGGAGAGAGCTGAAGCATGTGTAGGTCCCTCCGTGGGTGGCAGGGCCCAGAGGAAAGTCAGCCTGGAATGTTCCATCGACGCTGGGCACTGCAGGGAGCCTAGGTTCATGGGCCCTCCCCTCCCTGGATAGATGGTACATGTCAAATGAGCTCCTGGAGCTGCAGGACAAGGTCACGTTCTCTCCTGTGCGAACCGTGGGGCCCGGCTGGGCTGAGAGTGAAGGTTTCCCAAATAGACCTGGAAGAAGAGGCAGTTTCCTCAGGGAGGTTCTTCCTTGTCACAGCTCCCCTCACACCTGAGCTGAGAACTCACTCCCCTGCTCTATGACCTAATGCTCTCTCTCTCTCTCACCCTCCACCCCCGACTCTCCCTGTGGATCCCTCCCTATGCAGCTCCAGCCTGGTGGTGGCATCAGCAGTGCACCCTTGCTGACCTTAGGGTAGCCAACCCTCTTGTTTGGTTTTTTAACTTGTCCTTGACCTGGATTCCTGTGTTGTTTCCTGTTGTTGCTGCAGAAAATTATCACAAACACGGCGGCGGGAGAGAACACTTCTGTTGACAGAAATCAGACCCTGTTCTTCCTGGGCTACAATCAAGGCATCTGCAGGGCTGCATTCCCTCTGGAGACTCGGGAGAATCAGTTCCATTGACTTCTCCAGCCCCTAAAGGCCACCTGCATTCCGTGGCTTCTGGCCTTCCTCCACTTTCAAAGCCCGCAGTGGCTGGTGGACTCTCCCTCCCACTACGCTGCTCTAATCCCCACTCTCCTCTTCCTCCTCCTCTCATGTGGACCCTTGTGATTACACTGAGCCCAGTGGGAGAGTCCAGGTCGTCTCCCCATCTCAAGGTCAACTCATCAACAACCTGAACTCCATCTTCCCCTTCAGTCCCATGTCCTATAACATAAATAGTCACAGGCTCCAAGGATTACAATATAGCCATGCTGCCGACAGTTACTCTTTCCACCACAGCACCCATTCCCCTGTATTCAATCCCCATTGACACCAAATACAGTCAGGGCCTGGATGATTGGACCCTGGTGGACACCCCCACCAGATGCTCTGGGATTCAGGAAGTGGGAGAAGGAGAAGCCCAGACATGAGTCCTCTGACCTGTGACCACGATCACCAGGGGGTTGCTGGGTGCCGACCACTCAATGGGGGAGCGCGGGTGTGAACCCCGACATCTGTAGGTCCCTGCGTGTGCAGGGGTCACAGGGCCCATGAGGATGCTCTTCCAGAATATTTTGTTGTAGAGCTCAGGGACAGGCACCCCATCTTCTTTGTACAGACTGAAGATGGTAAACCCAAGACGAGAGCGACACAGAAGAGTCACATGTCCTCCTCGAGGCACCACAGCGCTGGGCCAGGCAGACAGCAAGGGCTTGTCCTGTCCACCTGGGGGAGAAGGAGGCGCCACCTTAGAAAGGAGGATGTGGAGCCGCCCCTCCCTGCCAGTGCTCAGAAGATTCTCCCCACTTTCCTCGTTTCTAAGGCTCCTACCACACTTGGGTGCCCATGGCTACGGGAAGGACCCACCCCGCATAGACTTGGCGTCTCTCTACAACAAAAGTGTCAGCTGAGAACTTTGAGCAAGTGCTGAGTAAGGGACTCCTACTAGATTTTAATACTGCAAGATTACTCACATAAAACAACACAAATAGACATGGGGTCGAGGGCATGTTCTTTGTGAATGGAATATCAGCCAATGTGTGAACCACAATACACAACTGAGCCCCCAACAGAGGATTTGGAAGGTCAGGGCCCTGGCTGGGGTTCCCCCACCTCTGAGGTAGAATGACAGCAGCCACACTGCAGCCCCTACCGTCATGGAAACGCTGGAGGGTGTGAGTTACACCTTTGTCCTCAGAGGCCTGCTGTTCCTAGCACTGCTTTGCTCCCTTCCTCTGCCAGTGACACCACATCCCAGCCGCACAGCCCAGCTTGGAGGACCCCAGTCTACCCTCCCGGGTTCCCACAGAACCTGACTCAGCCAAGGGAAAGGAAGGCTGGGGAGGGCAAGGTCGGAACTGTGGGCTGAGCACCCCAGGGTCTCCTCATCCTTGTTTATAAGAAAATCCCCCACCGGGCTTCCCTCCTGTTTCAGGAAAATCCTCTTATGTGGGGAGATGACACCCGAAGGTTTGGAGAAGGACTCACCCTCATGTGTCCAGGCCCCCTGCAGCAAGAAGAACCCTGGAAAGAAAGATCATGATGGACCATCCATCTGCAGGCAAACCAGGACTCCCTTGCTGCCCCCACTGGGCTGTGAGTCTTGGTAGCCAGGCCCTTGCTGGGCTGAAGGGAAACTCACCCTCAGTGCCAGCCTGCACCCAAGAACAGGGCTGTCGGCTGTGTAGAGACCCAGCCTGCAGGCCCATATCCGCACCCCAGGCCCCTATCCCCACCCCAAGCCCATATCTCCACTCCAGGCCCATATCTCCACTCCAGGCCAATATTTCCACCCTAGACCCATATCTCCAATCCAGGCCCATATCTCCACCCCAAGCCCATATCTCCACACCCAGGCCCATATCTCCATCCTAGGCCCATATGTCCACTCCAGGCCCAGATATCCACCTCTAGGCCCATGTCTCCACCTCCAGGCCCATATCTCCACCTCCAGGCCCATGTCTCCACTCCAGGCCCATATCTCCATCCCAGGCCAATATCTTCACTCCAGGCTCATATCTCCCCTCCAGGTTCCTATCTCCACTCCAGGCCCAGATCTCCACTCCAGGCCCATATCTCCACCTCCAGGCCCATATCTCCACTCCAGACCCAGATCTCCACTTCTAGGCCCATCACTCCATCTCCAGGCCCATATATCCACTCCAGGCCCAGATCTCCACTCCAGGCCCATAACTCCACCTCCAGGCCTATATCTCCACCTCTGGGCCCAGATCTCCATCCCCGCGCTCCCTCCCTCTATTCCTTTCCAGGACTCACCAACACACGCCATGCTGACGACCATGAGCGACATGGTGCTGCCGGTGCAGACAGGCAGCCGCGCCCCAGCTCAGCTCAGCAGCGCACAGGATGTTATTTGGCGCCCTGCCCATGCAGCTTACATGTTGACTACATCATGGGAGGGTGACGTACGCAGGCTCTTTCTACCTTGCATGAGGCCCAGTGGATGCTTGCTCAAGAGCGGAACACGGCTTCCTGGAAATTGTTCTCACTAGAATTGGCACCTCACGTCCTTCACTATGACCAACTCACAACACGTCTCAGATCCAACCTCCCGAACACAAGATGCCTAAAATCTGTGCTAACGTGAAAGACTTTTCATGTATTTTTATCCGAACACGAGATGCCTAAAATCTGTGCTAACATG
This sequence comes from Homo sapiens, assembly GCF_000001405.40. Taxonomy (NCBI): domain Eukaryota; kingdom Metazoa; phylum Chordata; class Mammalia; order Primates; family Hominidae; genus Homo; species Homo sapiens. Next base: position 176,292 of record NT_187636.1, read on the forward strand.
AAAGACTTTTCATGTATTTTTTTTGTTTTTATCTGAGATTCAAACTCTTCTTCCTGTGTAATATGCAAAGTATCTAATAGGTATTATTAATGTTTTCGGAGTCATTGTGACTAATAAACCATTAGAATTTTTCATGCTTGTATTTCTAGTATTACAGCAGAACCAGCTAAAATGATTTAAATTCCCAGGGAAGGATTATGCAATTATTTACAATCTTAGAATTGTACTTTATCAGCAAAAACCACACCTGTAAATTCTGGAGTTTTGTAGTTTAATCTAAAATTTGTCTCATGACCCAAGATTCCAGAGTCCCAACTCTGGAGTTTGCTCTCTGTCTGTCTCTCTCCCTCCCTCGTTTTAAATTTTACAGAAATATCCAGTAACATAATGCTATAGAAAATCAAGTTTTCCCCAGCACGTTGGGAAGCCGAGGTGGGCGGATCAACTGAGATAAGGAGTTTGAGAGCAGCTTGGCCAATATAGTGAAACCGTGTCTCTGTTAAAAATCCAAAAATTAGCCGTGCCTGGTGGCAGGCACCTGTAACGCCAGCTGCTCAAGAGGCTGAGGCACGAGAATCGCTTGAACCTGGGAGGCGGAGGTTGCAGTGAGCTGAGATTGTGTCACTGCAGTCCAGCCTGGGCGACAGAGCAAGACTCCGCCTCAAGAAAAAAAAAGCAAACAGCCTATAATAACAAATTAGAGGGCTCTGGCTACTAAATTTAAAGGGTTCTATAAGGCTACATAAAGTGCAGCATCATCAAGAGTGTGGACACAGAGAGCCCCTTAGCAGAAACAGTGTCTAAAATACATCCATGTACACACAGTCCCTTTAGAGTTGACAAAGGCTGCCGTGTGGTTTAAGGTGGCATAGAATGTCTTCTCAATAAATAATATTAAACCAATTGGTTACACCTAGGAAAAAATAAATCTAACTCACACTATAAAAACACTTCTTAGTTTTTATCTAGTTGTACATTTTTTATGATTTATATTTAAATTTGAGAAATAAAAGTCATATACGGTCATCCTTCACTATTCGTGGGTGATTGGTTTTGAGATCTCCACTCAGATACCAAAATCTGTAGATGCTCAAGCCTCTTATATGAAATGGCACAGAGTTTGCAAATAACCTATGCACATCCTCCTGTATACATGAAATCATCTCTAGATTACTTATAATTCCTGATACAGCCTACACACAGCTTCATTTGTGTCCATTCAACATAGTTATGCTTTTTGAAACTCTGTGGATACTTTCTCTCAATATTTTTGATTTATACTTGGTTCAATAAACACCTGTAAACCCCGCAGATATGGAGGAGTGACCGTATATTTATATTATGAAAGATGATGTGTTGATATGTGTCCCCATGGAGATGAGACTAACAAGGCCTATGATTCTACAAATGTTTCATTGTGGAATGACTCTGCCAGCTTTCCAGGTCTGCAGAGAGTAAGAGTATCACTTGTTCATATGATTCGTGATCCTTGGAACCTCCTATGTGCTACATCTTTGGATGGAAATTGGAGTCTCAGAGACAAATGAGGCTCCACCCTGCTTCCAGAAACTCAGAGTCCGGGGATGAGAACTCAGTGGGGAACAGATGGGATTATATGGACATGGTACTGATAACACCGGAAGCCTTAGGCAAGAAAAGAGTCCCATTACCGAAACCATGGGGGCAGACATGTTTATTTGAAGGATGGAAAACTACATTGAAGTTATTTTAAAAAATATATAAGTTTTACTGCTGACAGAAGACTGAAAGCTAGTCTGAGGGGAGGTGGAACAGCATGAGGGAAGGTGGAACAACACGTGTCTAAGTGCTGCGTTAAGAGGGAGCCTCTTGTATGTTTGGAATTGTGAGTTCCTCAGTGTGATTGCAGCCTCAAGTAGACTAGGAAGTAAGCCAGTTAGGTTGGAGAGGTGGGCAGGGGTCAAGTGAAATGGAGAACTGTGGGCTAAGCAAAGGAGTGTGTTTTTTCTCCAGCAGGCAGTGGGGACCTTAGACATTTGTAAGCAAGTGAGAGGCACATTCAGATTTGTGGTGTGAGGAAGAGCGATGCCCTAAGATGCAGACTCATGCCTTCAGATTCCAGCTGCTGGTACATGGGAGCTGGCAACCCGGTTTTGAGACAGGGCTGTTGTCTCCCTAGAAGACGCCCTCAAGGCCTGACTGTGGTGCTCATGGGCAGGAGACAACTTTGGATCTGGACTCAGCATTTGGAAGTTCCGCGTACACGATGATATCTGTTGGGGGTGTCTTGGGCCTCTGAGAAGGGCGAGTGATTTTTCTCTGTGTGAAAACGCAGTGATTCAACTGTGTGTATGTCACCTCCTGAGGGTCTTGTTCATCAGAGTCCTGGAGAGAGGGAAATGCTGAGTGAGGGAGGGTGCTCACATTTTCCAGGACTCTTTGGGAATAACAGTAGCCACGAGCCCGGGCCGAGGAGTACCTACCTCGCTATTCGCTGTTCTGTTCCCTGCAGACTCTTGGTCCATTACCGCAGCATCTGTAGGAGACGGAAGTCAACAAAACAGCTCGGAGGGCACTTCTGGGTCCTCATTTCATAAGCAGATACCAACATACAGGGGGAGACCATAGGTGGCTGAGGTCCCTCAGTTGCCAACAGCAGACTCAGACATTCTATCTCTCTGAGCTCAAGGACCCATCCCATGAATAGCTCTGAGTTCCCATCCCATTGATTCTGTCTCCCACTTTCTGCCTGTCATGGAACCTTCTCCTGGATGTGAGTGGCTGCAGGGGACATGAGGATACAGTTCAGAATCAGGCAACGGTCTGTGAGTTGAAGGCAGGGGCAGGGAGTCTGGTGCCCTCTCTAGAAAGTCCTGCCTCTGTGGCTGCTGCCTTGGGCCAGGGACCATCCTGTTTGTGAGGAACACACACCTGAGTGCTCCCATCCTGCTTCCCCACATGGCCCTGAGCTCTCTGGCCTCTGCTTCGTGAGACTTACTTTTTTTGTTGGAGCACCAGCGATGAAGGAGAAAGAAGAGGAGGATGAAGAGGATGATGACCACTGAGGTCCCAATCAGAATGTGCAGGTGTCGGGGGTTACCTGGAAGAAGATGAGACACCAATAAGAAGCTAATCTTAGCAGTTCCTCTTTATGAATTGTCTCGCATTTCTTGATTGACAGGTAACCACATAAAACATCTCTTTAGGACAAGCACCCAGATGGCAGGAGACCCAGCTTTCTCCTGCTTTTTCAGTTATAGCTCTCATAGTAACCATAGAACGTGCTGAGGATACGACTACTTTAGTTGAGATGTTTGACCCCTTCAAACCTCACATTGAAATTTCACCCCCACTGTGGGAGGTTGGGCCTCTTGAGAGGTGTTTGGGTCATGGAGGTGGATCCATCATGAACACATCAATGCTGTCCCAAGGAGACGGGGTTAGCAAGTTCCCCCTCTATTAGTTCCCGGAGAGCTGGTTGTTAAAAAGAGCTTGGAAGCTCCATCACTCCCCCTCCCCCTTGCTCCCTCTCTTGCCGTGTGATCTCTGTGGTCTCTGCACAGACAGACCCTCCTTCCCTTCTGCCAGAGTGGGAGCAGCCTGAGGCCGTCACGAGAAATAGATGCTGGTGCCATGCTTCCAGTACAGCCTGCAGAACGGTGAGGCAAACCAATCTCTTTTCTTTAGAAGTTACCGAGGCTCAAGTGTTCCTTTAGAGCAACAAAAATGGCCTAAGACAGCAACTTCCTGAGATCAGGAGGAACGTCTCAGAACACCCTGGGCTGTCTTCCTGTTCTTCCTGGAGGACGTCATGCAGTGCTTTAGCTGAGTGCTTCCTGTGGCTCCAGGGTACAAAACCCAGGCTGGGCTGCTTTCTGGCTTCCCGCAGCTACACTGCAAATGGGGTGACTCCATATGTCCCGAGGAGCTTTTCTGAGCCTTGAGGGACTGGCTCACATTGAAATATAGGTTTCTGTTGTCACTCGCTGCTTATCTGTTAGTAATGAACCTGCCTATGTAACGTATTCTCTGTGTGTTCTGTCTCCCTGGAGTGACGGTGAGTGATAGGAATTGGCATAGGCCCAGGTGCAGTCCAGGAGGTGTTTAGAGTCTTCTCTGGGAAGACTGGACTGGGATTGATTCACAGCGAATGTGCTTTAGGGTTTCTACATCCACAGCATTCTTGAATCAAACAACTTGCATTCTCCAAGGAAAGAAAACAAAAGTGAAATCAAGATAAAAAAAGCGAAATAGAATTCTCTTATGTCAAACGGCCAGGAAATAGTGTTGAAGCCCGTGTGAAACCTGCTGCTCTTTGTGATCTCGGGAGACACATATTAGGCTGCTGTTCTACCCGAGAGGCTGGGGGAAGGACCACCCCCTCGGCCATCTATTGCTTCAATACCACCTGTCCTCCTGTGAATTAGTAGGAAAGGGGAGCAGGAGCTAGTGCTGTCGCTGATCTCTGATTCCAAGATCTGGACTCACTCCAAGGAGTGTTAATGTTTACCTCCCCATGGTCTACCTGAATCTCCACAGGTGATTGGAAGTAGGGGTGAGGTGGGGGATTTGGGTGAGTGGGCAAGTTTTTTTTGTGATGACCAGAGCACTTTCTCTATTCCAGGATCTGTGCTGGAGGATTCAGCGGACTTTCACATTTTCTATATGATCTCATGCTCACAGAAAGCCAAATAGGGAAGAGGTTTTAGGCTCATTGCCTAATGGATAAGATAAAGGATCAAAGAAGTAATTATAGAGAAATAGAAAAATCATGATTGGAATTCAGGTCCCTTTGTCATTTGCGTGTGTTATATTATATTTATATTTATGCATTTCTTATTTTTATTTTTTGAGACGGAGTCTCCTTGTGCCACCCAGGCTGGAGTGCAGTGATGCAACCTCCACTCACTGCAACCTCCACCTCCTGGGTTGAAGTCATTCTCCTGCTTCATCCTCCAGAGTAGGAGCTGGGATTACAGGGATGCACCACCATGCTCGGCTAATTTTTGTGTTTTTCCTAGAGACAGGGTTTCACCATGTTGGCCAGGCTGGTCTCGAACTGCTGACTTCATGTGATCCACCCGCCTTGGCCTCCTGCAGTGCTGGGTTACAGGCGTGAGCCACCGTTCACAGACTTGTATATTATGCTATAATAGGTCTCTTCATTTCCACCACCCCTCATATATCTGTCACTCCTTTGCCAGGTATTGATTTATGTGTAGGATGAATAAATCTCAGAAAGAAATTAATTAAGCGAGGATTAAACAAGTAGGAAAATCAAACCCAGCAAGCCTTTCCAGTCAATGATTCTACCTCACAAACCTATCTTATATCCATCTACTTCATTCATTTAGTGTCTAAATCAGCACCACATTTCACCAGTGGGGCGGCAATTGCCTTTTCCACGGTCTCCTAGATTCCAGTTATGCAACTGAGCCTCCCTTATTTTCATGTCAGTCATATTAATCATGTAGGGATTCCTGGCTACCCCGAGGTGAATCCAATGGCTGTGAGTGTCAAACACACACTCCTTGTTCCTCCTTAGTTTCCTGTGTACCCAGTGTGCTCTCCGTCTCTCCACAGTCATCTTGTCATTCTCCCCACATCATTCCCAGCATTTGAGGAAGAGCCTCTTCCTTCCACATCAGATTGTTTTCACCTTTGTGCCTTCACGGCTGACAGCTGTGTGTGCAAAATCCTTCCGCCAATCTTTCAGGGGTTCAATCCGTGTTTTTCATTAATGTCACAAATATCTGAATAGTGAGACCTTCTTTGTCACCTGAAATCATACACTCAGCATTATCTATTATTGATTTTGAATTCTGGCTGGGCACAGTGGCTCACGCCTGTAGTCCCATTACTTTGGCATGCTGAGACGGTCGGATCACTTGAGGTTGGGAGTTTCAGACAAGCTTGGCCAACGTGGTGAAACATCCTCTCTACAAAAAATATACAAAAAGAATTAGCCGGGCACGGTGGCAGTTGCCTGTAATCCCAGCTACTCGAGAGGCGGAGGCAGGAGAATCACTTGAATCCAGGAGAAGCAGGTTGCAGTGAGCCAAGATCGTGACACTGCACTGTAGCCTGGAAGACAGAGGGCAACTCTGTCTCAATAAACAAAAGAACAAACAAAAAATAGATTTCATGCACAGATGCTTCCCAATGGATCATTCATTTATAGATCCACTTGTGCATTCATTTTCTGCCCTCCCATTTAACCATCTGCAATATCAGTGTCCCAAGGGCAGAGGCCAAATGCATCTTGTTCACTGTTTGTGGAAGGCAGGAGAATGCTGTCCCACCCCAAAATGTCCCTGTCCTAGCCTCCATACCTTGTGAATATGTTATTTTACATGGAAAGGAGGAATGAAGATTGTAGATGGAATTACGGTTGCTAATCAGCTGAACTTAAAACAAGGGTATCCTGGATGATTTCCAGGAGATTATGAGGGATTTTCATCTTGGTGAACCCAATAGAATCCCCAAGTTTTCAAAAGATAAGGAAGAAGGGAGAGCAGCATTCAGAGAAAGAGGTGTGGTAAGGAAGAAGGCACTGAGTGATGCCATGTGAGATGTGACCAGTCTTTGTGGGTTTTGAGGAAGGAGGAAGGGGACCAGGAGCCAAGGAACTGGGAGCCTTTAGAAGCTGGGACAAGTGAGAAGCAGATTCTTGCCTGGAATCCTCAGAGGGAAGGCAGCCTTGCTGTCACCTTGATTTTAGCCCAGTAAGATGCACTTCCTACTTTGAGCTACAGCACTGTAAGATAATTAAAAAACCGTTTTGTTTTCACCCACGAATCTTGTGGAAATTTGTTATGGCAACAATAGGAAAAGGTTCCGCACTGCACAGCCTGAGCATGGGGCCGTGGCTGAATGAGTCAGTGAGTCGAAGTGTGCGTGCATGAGCTCCGTTCTCTGTTACGGCAAGGCTGTTGCTCTGCTGAGTCAGCCAGGGTTGCTTCATGACCAACAGTAATTCATTCCTTGGCAAGTGGAACTTCTCTAAAACACCTCGCCCTCATCAGATGTTCCCTTCCCTTCCCTCTCTCAAGCCCCCAGGAATTTATCCTCCAGTTAGGAATGCAGGCAGAACAAACATTGCATTTTTCCTGAGAAGGATGTCAGATTGGCAATCATTCTTCTAGCTTGTAGGAGGTCTCAGCTCCATAAAATGAGAGATTAAGAGATTTCACTGAGCCCTAGGTTGGGCCCAGATCCCTTTCGCTGTTGGAGTATCTGGAGTTCGGAGATGGTAGAAGACAGGCGTACAATGTCAGAGCTGCGAGATGCTGAGTCAATGCCTGCATCGAAGGTTTCTACCTCCCCAGGTTTCCAAAAGCGGATATAAGAGGGTTCTGTACTCACCGGTTTTAGAGCTTGGTTCAGTGGGTGAAGGCCAACTATTTGAAGGGTTTCCTAGAACATGAGACAGGAGAGAGGTGAGGAAATGAGGGTGTCTGTCCTCTACTCAATGGAAATCTTTGAGGTTGGTTCATGGCCAACACTCTGTTATCTAATATTGGGCCCTGGGAGTCCTGGGATCCTTTTTTCCATAATTTTTGTATGTGACGCCCATTGTCTTGAGACTTCAAGGTATAAAGAGAAAACAGGAGCATCACACTACCTGATCTCAAAATATGTTACAGAGCTGTAGTAAGCAAGACAGCATGATGTTGGCATGAAGAAAGGCACATAGAACAATGGAGCAGAATGAACAACACAAATATAATCCATGCATTTACATCCAATGTTTTTTTCTTTTTTCTTTTGAGATGGAGTCTCGCTCTGTCACCCAGGCTGGAGTGCAGAGGTGCAATCTCGGTTCACTGCCACCACAGCCTCCTGGGTTCAATCAATTCTCTGGCCTCAAACTCCTGAGTAGTGGTATTATAGGTGCTGACCACCATGCTCAGCTAATTTATATATTTTTAGTGGAGACGATGTTTCATCACGTCGGCCAGACTAATCTTGAACTCCTGGCCTCAGGTGATCCACCCGCCTTGGGCTCCCAAAGTGCTGAAATTGCAGGTGTCAGTCACCATGCCCAGCCCATCCAATGGACTTTGACAAAGGTGCCAAGAACTCACAATCAGGAAAGGACAGTCTTTTCAATAAACAGTGCAGGGAAACCTGGACATCTACATGCAGAGGAATGAAACTGCACCTCTACCTGTCACCATACACAAAAATCAAATGAAAATGGATTAAAGATGTGAGTCTAAGGCCTGAACCTATGAAACACGTAGAAGAAAATATTGGGGAAATGCTCCAGGACATTTGTCTGAAGGAAGACATTTTGTTTTAAACCTTCAAAACACAAGTAATCGAAGCAAAAATAGACCATTGGGATTACCTCAAGCTAAGCAACTTCTGCACCGCTAAAAATAAACCAACAAAGTGAAGAGACAACCCACAGATTGGGAGCAAATATGTGCAAACTATGCATCTGAGATGGGATTAATAACTAGAAATATAAGAAGCTCAAACAACTCAATAAAACAAATGATTTAATTGAAACAGGAGCAAAAGACATGAAATTTCCCCACATACGAAAAACTGCTCAGTATCACTCATCATCAGAGAAACGCAAATTAAAATCAAAGTGAGTTTTCATCTCACCCCATTAAAATGGCTTTTAGGCCGGGCGTGGTGGCTCACGTCTGTCATCCTAGATCTTTGAGAGCCTGAGGTGGGTGAATCTCATAAGGTCGGGAGTTTGAGACCAGTCTGACCCACATGGAGAAACACTGTCTCTACTAAAAATACAAAAATTAGTCGGGCGTGGTGGCGTGTGCCTGTAATTCCAGCTACTCGGGAGGCTGAGGCAGGAGAATCGCTTGAACCTGGGAGGTGGAGGTTGTGGTGAGCCGAGATCGCACCACTGCACTCCAGCCTGGGTGACAAGAGCGAAACTCCATCTCAAAATAAAATGAAATAAAGTAAAATGGCTTTTAGCTGCAAGACAGGCAAAGGAAATCCTGCCAAAGTGGTAGAGAAAGGAGAACCCTAATACCCTGTTGGTAGGAGTGTAAATTAGTACAGCCTTTACGGAGAAAAGTGTGGAAGTCCTTTAAAGAACTAAAAAGAGGTTGGGTGAGGTGGATCATGCCTGTAATCCCGGCACTTTGGGAGACCGAGGCGGACACCTCAGTTGAGGTCATGAGTTTGAGAGCAGCCCAGCCAACATGGGGAAACCCCATCTATACTAAAAAAACCAAAAAGTAGCCAGGCATGGTGGCGTGCACCTGTAATCCCAGCTACTAGGGAGGCTGAGGTAGGAAAATCATTTGAACCCAGGAGGCAGAGGTTGCAATGAGCCAAGATGACATCACTTGTACTCCAGCCTGGGCACAGAGGGAAACTGTCTCAAAAACAAAAACAAAACAACAAACGAATAACTAAAAAGAGAACTTTCATAGTATCCAGCAATTTCACTACTGGGTTTATATCCAAAGGAAAGTAAATCAATATATCGAAGTGATATCTGCACTCGTATGATTGGTGCAGCACTGTTCACAGTAGCCAAGATGTGGAGTCAACCTACCTGCCCATCAGTGGATGAATGGATAGAGAGAATGTAGTACATACGCACAGTGGAGACTACTCATCCATAGAAAGAATAACATCCTGATATTTGCAGCCACATGGATGGAACTGCAAGTCATTACAAAGATTCCCATTTCTCACCCATATACAGAGCTAAAAGGTGGATCTCATGAAGGTAGAGAGTAGAATGGTGGCTTCCAGAGGCCAGGAAGAAAAGGGTGGAGGGTAAAAAAAAAAAAAAAAATATATATATATATATATATATATATATATATATATATATATATATATACACATATATATATGTATATATATGTGTGTGTATATATATATACATACATATATATATATATATATTTATAAATGTATTTATGACCACTAGACTTTACACTTAAAAATGGTAAATGTGGCTGGGAGTGGTGGCTCATGCCTGTAATCCCAGCACTTTGGGAGGCAGATGCGGGTGGATCACGTGGTCAGGAGTTGGAGACCAGCTCGACCAACATGGTGAAACCACCTCTCTACTAAAAATACAAAAAGTAGCCTGGCGTGGTGGTGCGCGCCTGTAGCACCAGCTACTCAGGTGGCTGAGGCAGGAGAATCACTTGAACCCAGGAGGCGGAAGTTGCAGTGAGCTGAGATTGTGCCACTGCACTGCAGCATAGGGGACAGAGCTAGACTCTGCCTCAAAAAAAAAAAAAATGTTAAAGGTGGTAAGCTATATAGGTATATTTATCCTCAATAAATATTTCTTCAAACAAAAGTAAAGGGTGTAGGGGTTGCTGGTGATGACATCCCTGTGTGGGTGAGAGGCCAGGATGGGCTTCTGGGAAATGGGTAATGTTGAGGGGCTGAGGGAACCTCTGATCTTCCCAAACTGAGCCCAGTCTCCCTCCTCTGGGTCTCTCCTGACCGCTTTCTCCATCTGCCTGTGTGCCTGGAGCCCTGGCCGCGGGCCTTCATGCAGGCCGTGTAGGAGGGTTTGGAGGTGCCCTGTCTGCCATCCTGTGCCCTGATCCCTCCCTCACACCCAAGCTTCGTCTTCTCTCTGCATCTGTCCATGCTTATCTCCATCATCAGCAGGAAGCTCCTCAGCTAAGGCTCTAGGATCATAGGACATGAGACAGATATGGGGTTTCCTCACCTATGACAGAAACAAGCAGTGGGTCACTCGAGTTTGACCACTCGTATGGAGAGTCACGGAAAGAGCCGAAGCATCTGTAGGTTCCTCCGTGGGTGGCAGGGCCCAGAGGAAAGTCGGCCTGGAATGTTCCGTTGACCTTGGGCCCTGCAGAGAACCTACATTCATGGGCCTCCCCCTCCCTGGATAGATGGTACATGTCATAGGAGCTCCGGGAGCTGCAGGACAAGGTCACGCTCTCTCCTGCCAGAACCGTGGGGCCCGGCTGGGCTGAGAGAGAAGGTTTCTCATATAGACCTGGAAGGAGAAGAGGCATTTTCCTCAGGGAGGATCTTCCTTGTCACAGCTCCCTTCACCTGAGCTGAGAACTCACTCCCCTGCTCTATGACCTAATGCTCTCTCTCTCTCTCTCTCACCCTCCACCCCATCTCTCTTCATATCTATTTCCTTCTTCCACCTTCTCTGTCTCTCTAGGTCTCTGACCTCGCTTCCCCACCTCTAGATATGTTTTCCGTTTTTGGATTGTTTTATTCTCTCTGACTCTCCTTGGGTTGGTTGACTTGATGTTACTTTTTTAAATTCTAAGTTTCTCACGTTGTGTCCTGTTCATAACTTTCTGCATATTTCTATCTATTATCTGTCGATCTATCTATTTATCTATTCGGTGCCTATCTACAAATTCTCTACCTGTCATCTATATCTATATATCATCTATGTATCTATCAGTTGTCTATCTATCCATCAATCATCTGTTATTTATATGTATGTATCATCTCTCTCTCTATGATTTCTGTCTGCCTCTCTATCTGTACGTATTATCTGTCTTCATCATCATCATCTCTATGTATTATCTATTAATGAATCAATCAATCATCATCTATGTATCTTTAACCTATTATCTATCATCTACCTATTTATCATCTATCTATATCTATCCATCTATCATCTGTATTGCTCTGCCTCTCGGTCTCTCTAGCTCTCTTTGGAATCTCTGCAATTCATCCCCACATCTCCATGTTTCTATGTCCTTGTGCCTCTCTCTCAGGACTCTAATTTTAGTGCTTTTCTCTGCTCCCTGCCATCATTCTCACCACTCCTCTGCCCTCTTTTCTCTCTCTTTATGTGTCTGTGAGTCTCTCAATCTCCTTCCTCTGGCTCATTCTCCGTGTGTTTATGTCTTTGCTTTTTGGTGTTCCTGATTTTTCTCTGTGCCTCTCAGTGATCCTTTCATATGTGGGGTTATTTGGAATGTGAGCCTCAGAATCCAGTCTGGAGACCACAAGTTCACACAGCATACAGGGGTTGGTGTTCTGGGGCCATGATATCCTGGGACGGTTACTCTCCATTACATGGAAGGCAGAGGTGTCAGAATAAACATGGCCTGTAGGTGCCACAAGGCCTGAGGCCACAGGGCCCAACTCAGGTCAGAAATATGGGTGTCCTTGGGTTCTCCTGGTAGAGAACACTTTGTGGAGGTAAAACAGAAATGAAACTTCTAACCTGTGCCAGGTCTGTGAGCAAAGTCAGCATGGAGGGACACCTCTCTCTGGGACATGTCTGTCTGTCTGTCTCTTTTAACTCTTTCTGTCTTTTCTAACTCCCTGTATGGCCCCTGTGTCTGTCCTCCGTTATGACACCTGGTCTGTACTTGTGTCTCCTGTTTCTCTGTCTCTGTTGGTACAAACCTCAGCAAGTCAGTCTCTCTCCATAAGAATACCAAGCTCATCTTCCTTACAACTACCTGGGGGTTCCAAGTCGTGGATCATTCACTCTGCAGCCCAATGACAATGAGAATGTCCGGACACTCTCACCTGTGATGACGATGTCCAGAGGGTCACTGGGAGCTGACAACTGATAGGGGGAGTGAGTAACAGAACCGTAGCATCTGTAGGTCCCTGCAAGGTCTTGCATCATGGGACCGATGGAGAAGTTGGCTTTGGAGACCCCATCATGGTGCTCTCCAATGAGGTGCAAAGTGTCCTTAAACTTCCCTTCTCTGTGCAGAAGGAAGTGCTCAAACCTGACATCTGACCAACATTGCAGGATGACTGTCTCTTCTGATTTCACCAGGCGACCTGGGTGGGCCAGGAGGGAAGGTTTTCTGTGGACTCCTAGGAAGAGAGGTTGTGAGTTTAGAAGGTGTCTCTCTTTATCATCCCATCCATGGCACCTAGAATGAGTGAGGCTTCCCCTTGCTGGTGTCTGTCTCTCTCCTTCCTCTCTGTGTCTTCATGTTCTTTTCTGTGCCCTTAACTCCTGGTGCAGGTCCTTCCATCTGTCTCCCTCCCTCTTCTCTGTCCCTCTGTCTCTAGTAGCCTCTGATTCCCTTCCCACTGGGCTTAGCCTCATCTCTTGGGGTGTTGTATCTATTTCACACTAATGTCTTTCCTGCTGTTTATGTGGGGGTGAAAGAGGAACCAGGATAGGCTGCACATCCAGGCTCTTATCAGCCTGGTTCAATCTCTTTTGGATGAATTGCAATCCTTGGCAGAAGATATGAACTGATGAATAAGGCAGGCACCAGTGTCCACACACCCTGTTCCTGGTGGGGACTGGGAGCCACTCTTGCCATGCCTGTGCCTTCTCCATGGTGCCAGCTTCCATAGGCTGGCTCCTGGTGCTGGTTGGAGGAGTATCAACCCCTCCCTATGTGGATGGAGCCTGGTGGTGGCATCATCATCCCACCCTTGCTGATCTCAGGGTAGCCAACCTTCTCCTTCTTTGGTTTCTTTAATTAATTAATTAATTTTGGAGACAGAGTCTCACTCCTTCACCCAGGCTGGAGTGAAGTGGTGTGGTCTAGGCTCACTGCAACCTCTGTTTCCTGGGTTCAAGTGATTCTCCTGCCCTCAGCCTCCTGAGTCGCTAGGATTACATGCACCTGCCACCATGCCTGGCTTTCCTTGGGTTGTTTCTTAACTTGTCCTTGACCTGGGTTCCAGTGTTGGTTTCCTGTTGCTGCTGTACAAAATTATCAGAAGCATGGAAGCAGGAGAGACCACACTGACACCTTCCAGTACTGGAGACAGAAATTGGACCCTATTTTTCCTGGGCTAAAATCAAGGCATCTGCAGGGCTTTGTTCCCTCTGGAGACTCTGGAGAATCAGTTCCTTGACTTTTCCAGCCTCTATAGGCCACCTGCATTCATGGCTCTTGGCCTTCCTCCACCTTCAAAGCTGGTGAAGACTTCCACTGGACTGCTCTAATCCCCACTCCCCTCTTCCTCCTCCTTTCATGTGCACCCTTGTGATTACACTGAGCCCAGTGGGACAGTCCAGGCTGTCTCCCCATGAGCTCCATCTTCCCCTTCAGTCCCTTCCCCTATAACATACATAGTCACAGACTCCAGGGATTAGAATGTAGTCATCACTGGGGACAATTATTCTTCCCACCACAGCACCCATTTCCCTGTATTCAATCCCCCTTTACCACAAATACAGTCAGGGCCTGCGTGATGGGACCCTCAAGGACATGCCCACCAGAAGCTCTGGGATTCAGGAGGTGGGACAAGGAGAATCCAAGACAGGAGCCCTCTGACCTATGACCACGATCACCAGGGGGTTGCTGGGTGCTGACCACCCACTGGGGGAGTGTGTGTGTGAACCCCGACATCTGTATGTCCCTGTTGTGCGGGGGTCACAGGGCCCATGAAAAGGCTGTTCCAGAATATTCTGTTGTAGAGCTCAGGGACAGGCACCCCACCTTCCTTGTACAGACTGAAGTTGTTAAACCCAAGATAAGAGTGACACCGAAGAATGACATGTCCTAGAGGCACCACAAGGCTGGGCCAGGCAGACAGCAAGGGCTTGTCCTGACCACCTTGGGGAGAAGGAGGCGCCGCCTTAGAGAGGAGGATGTGGAACTGCCCCTCCCTCCCTGTGCTCAGAAGATTCTCCTCGCTTTCCACGTTTCTATGGCTACTATCACACCTTGGTGCCCAGGGCTGAAGGAAGGACCCATCCCGCAAAGACATGGTGTCTCCCTACAACAAAAGCCTCAGCTGAGAACTTTGAGCAAGTGCTGAGTAAAGAGACTCCTACTAGATTTTGATACTGTAAGATTACTCACATAAAACAACACAGGGTAGACATGAGGTGGAGGGCATGTCCTTTGTGAATGGATATCAGCGGATGCCTGAACGAAAATAAACAACTGAGCCCCCATCAGAGGATTTGGAATGTCAGGGCCATGGCTGTGGTTTCCCACCTCTTCTGGTAGAATGACAGCAGCCACACTGCAGCCCCTACCATCATGGAAACGCTGAAGTGTGTGAGTAACACCTTTGTCCTCAGAGGATCTGCTGTTCCTACCACTTCCCAACCACACACCCCAGCTTTGAGCACCCCAGTCTAACCCTGGTCCCCACAGAACTTGACTCTGCCAAGGGGTTGAGAGGCCAGGGAGGCGAGGTCAGAAATGTGGGCTGAGCACCCCAGGGTCCTCTCTTCCTAGTTTATGAGAGACTCCCCGACAGGACTTCCCTCCTGTTTCAGGAAAATCCTCTTATGTGGGGAGATGACACCCGAAGGTTTGGAGAAGGACTCACCCTCATGTGGCCAGGCCCCCTGCAGCAAGAAGAACCCTGGAAAGAAAGATCATGATGGACGATCCATCTGCAGGCGAACCAGCCCTCCCTTGCTGCCCCCACTGGGCTGTGAGTCTTGGCAGCCAGGCCCTTCCTGGGCTGAAGTTAAACTCACCCTCAGTGCCTACCTGCACCCAAGAACAGGGCTGTCGGCTGTGCAGAGACCCAGTTTCCAGGCCCATATCCCCACCCCAAGCCCATATCTCCACTCCAGGCTGATATTTCCACCCTAGGCCCATATCGCCAATCCAGGCTCAGATCTCCACCCTAGGCCCCTATCTCCAATCCAGTCCCATATCTCCGCCCCAGGCCCAGAACTCCACCCTAAGCCCATATCTCCACTCCAGGCCCATATCACCTCTCCAGTCCCATATCTCCACACCCAGGCCCATATCTCCTTCCTAGGCCCATATCTCCACTCCAGGCCCAGATATCCACCTCTAGGCCCATAACTCCACTCCTGGCCCATATCTCCACTCCAGGCCCATATCTCTACTGCAGGCCCGTATCTCCACCTCCAGACCCATATCTCCACTCCAGGCCCATATCTCCACCTCCAGGCCCATATCTCCACCTCCAGGCCCATATCTCCACTTCAGGCCCATATCTCCACTCCAGGCCCATATCTCCACTCCAGGCCCCTATCTCTACTGCAGGCCCATATCTCCATCTCCAGGCCCATATCTCCATCTCCAGGCCCATGTCTCCACTACAAGCCCATATCTCTACTGCAGGCCCATATCTCAACCTCCAGGCCCATATCTCCACTCCAGGCCCAGATCTCCACTTCTAGGCCCATCACTCCATCTCTAGGCCCATAACTCCACTTCCAGGCCTATATCTCCAACTCTGGGCCCCGATCTCCATCCCCGCACTCCCTCCCTCGATTCCCTTCCAGGACTCACCAACACACGCCATGCTGACGACCATGAGCGACATGGTGCTGTCTGTGCAGACAGGCGGCCGCGCCCCAGCTCAGCTCAGCAGCGCACAGGATGTTATTTGGCGCCCTGCCCATGCAGTTTACATGTTGACCACATCATGGGAGGGTGACGTACGCAGGCTCTTTCTACCTTGCATGAGGCCCAGTGGGTGCTCGCTCAAGAGCGGAACATGGCTTCCTGGAAATTGTTCTCACTAGAATTGACACCTTGCGTCCTTCACTACGACCAGACTCAAAAGACGTCTCAGATCCAACCTCTCATACACGAGATGATTGAATTCTGTGCTTACATTAAAGATTTTTGATGTATTTTTGTTTTTATCTGAGATTCAAACTCTTCTTCATATGTAATGTGCAAAATGTCTAACAGGTATTATTAACATTATCAGAGTAATTGTGACAAGAAGCCATTCTAATTTTCCTGCTTGAGTTTCTAGTACTAAACCAGAGGCATCAGAATAGCTTGAACCTGGGAGGCGGAGGTTGCAGTGAGCTGAGCTCAAGCCACTGAACTCCAGCTTGGGTGACAGAGGAAGAGTCTGTCTCAAGAAAAAAAAAAAAGCAAACTAAATAACCTATAATAACAAATCAGAGGACTCAGGTTACCAAATTTTAAGGGGTTCTATAAGTTTATATAAAATGCAGCATCCTCATGAGAGGGGATACAGAGAACCACTGGACAGAAAACTGTGTCTAAAATACATCTGTGGATACACAGTCCCTTTATAGTTGACAAAGGCTGCCATGTAGTTTAAGGTGGAATAGAATATTTTCTCAACAAATAACACAGGACCATAGGGTTACACGTAGGAAAAAATAAATCTAAACTTATCCTCACACTATAAAAACACTTCTTATTTTTTATCTTGTTGTTGTAAATTTTTTATGCTTTATTTTTAAGATTGACAAATAAAAATTATATACCATGGTCCTTCACTATACCTGGGTGATTGGTTCCAGGATCCCCATTCAGATACCAAAATCTGCAGATGCTCAAGCCCCTTGCATGAAATGGCATAGTGAAGCTGGGCACCGTGGCTCACGCCCGTAATCCCAGCACTTTGGGAGGCTGAGCTGGGTAGATCACAAGGTCAGGAGTTCAAGACCAGCTGGTCCAACATTCTGAAACCCCGTCTCTACTAAAAATACACACACAAAAAAATTTATCTGTGCATGGTGGCACGTGCCTGTAATCCTAGGGGAGGCTACTGGGGAGGCTGAGGGAAGACAATCGCTTGAACCTGGGAGGCGGAGGTTGCAGTGAGTTGAGATCACGCCACTGCACTCCAGCCTGGGTGAGAGAGTGAGACTGTCTCAAAAAAAAAAAATAGCATAGCAATTGCATAGAACCCATGCACATCCTCCTGTATACATGAAATCATCTCTTGATTACTTATAATTCCTGACACAGCCTACACGCCACTCAATTTGTGTCGATTCAACATAGTTTTTTGCTTCTTGAAACTTCGGGGATTTTTTTCTCAAAATATTTTTGATTTATTGTTGGTTCAATAAACACCTGTAAACCCCACAGATATGGAGGACCGACTGTATATTTATATTATGAAAGATGATATGTTGATATGTGTCCCCGTGGAGATGAGACTAACAAGGCCTATGACTCTACAAATGTTTCATCGTGGAATGACTCTGCCAGCTTTCCAGGTCTGCAGAGAGTAAGAATATCACTTGTTCATGTGATTCACGATCCTTGGAGCCTCCTATGTGCTGTATCTTTGGATGGAAATTGGAGTCTCAGAGACAATTCAGGCTCCATTCTGCTTCCAGAAGCTCAGAGTCCAGGGCTGAGAACCCAATGGAGAACAGATGGGGTTATGTGGACATGGTAATGATAACACCGGAAGCCTTAGGCAAGAGAAGAGTCTCGTTACCGAAACCATGAGGGCAGACATGTTTATTTGAAGGCGGGAAAACTACATTGAAATTATTTAAAAAATTTATAAGTTTTACTGCTGGCAGAAGGCTGAAAGATAGTCTGAAGGGAGGTGGAACAGCACGTGTCTAAGTGCTGTGTTAAGAGGGAGCCTCTTGTATGTTTGGAATTGTGAGTTCCTCAGTGTGATTGCAGCCTCAGGTAGACTAGGAAGTAAGCTAGTTAGGTTGGAGAGGTGGGCAGGGGTCAAGTGAAATGGAGAATTGTGGGCTAAGCAAAGGAGTGTGTTTTCTCTCCAGCAGGCAGTGGGGACCTTAGACATTTGTAAGCAAGAGAGAGGCATGTTCAGATTCGTGGTGTGAGGAAGAGCGATGCCCTAAGATGAAGACTGATGCCTTCAGATTCCAGCTGCTGGTACATGGGAGCTGGCAACCCGGTTTTGAGACAGGGCTGTTGTCTCCCTAGAAGATCCCCTCAAGGCCTGACTGTGGTGCTCGTGGACAGAAGACAACTTTGGATCTGGGCTCAGCATTTGGAAGTTCTATGTACATGCTGGTATCTGTTGGGGGTGTCTTGGGCCTCTCAGAAGGGCGAGTGATTTCTCTCTGTGTGAAAACACAGTGATCCAATTATGCGTATGACACCTCCTGATGGTCTTGTTCATCAGAATCCTGGAGAGAGGGAAATGCTGAGTGAGGGAGGGTGCTCACATTTTTCAGGACTCTTTGGGAATAAGACTAGCCACGAGGCTGGGCCGAGGAGCACCTACCTCGCTGTTCACTGTTCTGTTCCCTGCAGGCTCTTGGTCCATTACAGCAGCATCTGTAGAAGACGGAAGTCAACAAAAGAGCTCGGAGGGCACTTCTGGGTCCTCATTTCATAAGCAGATACCAACAAACAGGGGGAGGCCATAGGTGCCTGAGGTCCCTCAGTTGCCAACAGCAGACTCAGACATTCTATCTCTCTGAGTTCAAGGACCCATCCCATGAATAGCTCTGAGTTCCCATCCCATTGATTCTATCTCCCACTTTCTGCCTGTCATGGAACCTTCTCCTGGATGTGAGTGGCTGCAGGGGACGTGAGGGTACAGTTCAGAATCAGGCAACGGTCTGTGAGCTGAAGGCAGGGGAAGGGAATCTGGTGCTCTCTCTAGAAAGTCCTGCCTCTGTGGCTCCTGTCTTGGGCCAGGGACCATCCTGCTGGTGAGGAACACACACCTGAGTGCTCCCATCCTGCTTCCCCACATGGCCCTGAGCTCTCTGGCCTCTGCTTCGTGAGACTTACTTTTTTTGTTGGAGCACCAGCGATGAAGGAGAAAGAAGAGGAGGATGGTGAAAGGGATTTTGACCACTGAGGTCCCAATCAGAACATGCAGGTGTCTGGGGTTACCTGGAAGAAGAGGAGACACCAATAAGAAGCTAATCATAGCAGTTCCTCTTTATGAATTGTCTCGCATTTCTTGATTGGCAGGTAACCACATACAACGTCTCTTTAGGACAAGCACCCAAATGGCGGGAGACCTAGCTTTCCCCTGCTTTCTCAATTATAGCTCTCATAGTAACCATAGAACGTGCTGAGGATACAACTACTTTAGTTGAGATGTTTGACCCCTTCAAACCTCACATTGAAATTTCACCCCCATTGTGGGAGGTTGGGCCTCTTCAGAGGTGTTTGGGTCATGGAGGTGGATCCATCATGAACAGATCAATGCTGTCCCAAGGAGACGGGGTTAGCAAGTTCCCCCTCTGTTAGTTCCTGGACAGCTGGTTGTTAAAAAGAGCTTGGAAGCTCCATTGCTCCCTCTCCCCCTTACTCTCTCTCTTGCCGTGTGATCTCTGTGGTCTCTGCACAGACAGACCCTCCTTCCCTTCTGCCAGAGTGGGAGCAGCCTGAGGCCATCACGAGAAATAGATTCTGGTGCCATGCTTCCAGTACAGCCTGCAGAACTGTGAGGCAAACCGATCTCTTTTCTTTAGAAGTTACCGAGGCTCAAGTGTTCCTTCAGAGCAACAAAAAAAAAAACTAAGACAGCAACGACCTGAGATCAGGAGGAATGTCTCAGAACAGCCTGGGCTGTCTTCCTGTTCTTCCTGGAGGAAGGCGTCATGCAGTGCTTTAGCTGAGTGCTTCCTGTGGCTCCAGGGTACAAAACCCAGGCTGGGCTGCTTTCTGGCTTCCCCCAGCTACACTGCAAATGGGGTGACTCCATATGTCCCGAGCAGCTTTTCTGAGCCTTGAGGGACTGGCTCACATTGAAATGTAGGCTTCTGTTGTCACTCGCTGCTTATCTGTTAGTAATGAACCTGCCTGTGTAATGTATTCTCTGTGTGTTCTGTCTCCCTGGAGTGACGGTGAGTG
Source organism: Homo sapiens (assembly GCF_000001405.40). Classification (NCBI taxonomy): domain Eukaryota; kingdom Metazoa; phylum Chordata; class Mammalia; order Primates; family Hominidae; genus Homo; species Homo sapiens. Next base: position 196,739 of record NT_187636.1, read on the forward strand.
ATAGGAATTGGCATAGGCCCAGGTGCAGTCCAGGAGGTGTTTAGAGTCTTCTCTGGGAAGACTGCACTGGGATTGATACACAGCGACTGTGCTTTAGGATTTCTACATCCACGGCATTCTTGAGTCAAACAACTTGCATTCTCCAAGAAAAGGAAACAAAAGTGAAATCAAGATAAAAAAAGCGAAGTAGAATTCTCTTATGTCAAATGGCCAGGAAACAGTGTTGAAGCCCATGTGAAACGTGCTACTCTTTGTGATCTCAGGAGACACATGTTAGGTTGCTGTTCTACCCGAGAGGCTGGGGGAAGGACCACCCCCTCGGCCATCTATTGCTTCAATACCACCTGTCCTCCTGTGAATTAGTAGGAAAGGGGAGCAGGAGCTACTGCTGACGCTAATCTCTGATTCCAAGATCTGGACTCACTCCAAGGAGTATTAGAATTTACCTCCCCATGGCCTATCTGAATCTCCACAGATGATTGGAAGTAGGGGTGAGGTGGGGGATTTGGGTGAGAGGGCATGTTTTCTTGTGATGAACAGAGCACTTTGTGTATTCCAGGATCTGTGCTGGAGGATTCAGCGGGCTTTCACATTTTCTATATGATCTCATGCTCACAGAAAGCCAAATAGGGAAGAGGTTTTAGGCTCATTGCCTAATGGATAAGATAAAGGATCAAAGAAGTAATTATAGAGAAATAGAAAAATCATGATTGGAATTCAGGTCCCTTTCTCATTTGCATGTGTTATATTATATTTATATTTATGCATTTCTTATTTTTATTTTTTGAGACGGAGTCTCCTTGTGTCACCCAGGCTGGAGTGCAGTGATGCAATCTCCACTCACTGCAACCTCCACCTCCTGGGTTGAAGTCATTCTCCTGCTTCATCCTCCAGAGTAGGAGCTGGGATTACAGGGATGCACCACCATGCTCGGCTAATTTTTGTGTTTTTCCTAGAGACAGGGTTTCACCATGTTGGCCAGGCTGGTCTCGAACTGCTGACTTCATGTGATCCACCCGCCTTGGCCTCCTGCAGTGCTGGGTTACAGGCGTGAGCCACCGTTCACAGACTTGTATATTATGCTATAATAGGTCCCTTCATTTCCACCACCCCTCATATATCTGTCACTCCTTTGCCAGGTATTGATTTATGTGTAGTAGGAATAAAGCTCAGAAAGAAATTAAGCGAGGATTAGACAACTAGGAAAATCATACCCAGCAAGCCTTTCCAGCCAATGATTCCACCTCACAAGCATAGCTTATATCCATCTGCTTCACCCAGTTAGGGTCTAAATCAGCACCACATTTCACCAGTGGGGCGGGAATTGCCTTTTCCACAGTCTCCTAGATTCCAGTTATGCACCTGGGCCTCCCTTATTTTCATGTCAGTCACTATTAATCATGTAGGGATTCCTGGCTACCCCGAGGTGAATCCAATGGCTGTGAGTGTCAAACACACACTCCTTGTTGCTCCTTAGTTTCCTGTGTACCCAGTGTGCTCTCCGTCTCTCCACAGTCGTCTTGTCATTCTCCCCACCTCATTCCCAGCATTTGAGGCAGAGCCTCTTCCTTCCACATCAGATTGTTTTCAGCTTTCTGCCTTCACGGCTGACAGCTGTGTGTGGAAAATCCTTCCGCCAATCTTTCAGGGGTTCAATCCGTGTTTTTCATTAATGTCACAAATATCTGATTAGTGAGATCTTCTCTGTCACCCAAAATCATACACTCAGCATTATGTATTATTTATTTTAAATTCTGGCTGGGCACAGTGGCTCACGCCAGTTATCCCAGTACTTTAGGATGCTGAGACGGTCGGATCACTTGAGGTTGGGAGTTTCAGAGAAGCTTGGCGAAGATGGTGAAACATCCTCTACAAAAAATATACAAAAAGAATTAGCCGGGCATGGTGGCAGTTGCCTGTAATCCCAGCTACTTGAGAGGCTGACGCAGGAGAATCACTTGGATCCAGAAGGTGCAGGTTGCAGTGAGCCAAGATGGTGACACTGCACTGTAGCCTGGAAGACAGAGGGAGACTCTGTCTCAATAAACAAATGAAGAAACAAACAAATAGATTTCATACACAGATGCTTCCCAATGGATCATTCATTTATTGGTCCACTTGTGCATTCATTTTCTGCCCTCCCATTTAACCATCTGCAATATCAGTGTCCAAAGAGCAGAGGCCAAATGCATCTTGTTCACTGTTTGTGGAAGGCAGGAGAATGCTGTCCCACCCCAAAATGTCCCTGTCCTAGCCTCCATAGCTTGTGAATATCTTATTTTACATGGAAAGGAGGAATGAAGATTGCAGATGGAATTATGGTTGCTAATCAGCTGAACTTAAAACAAGGGTATCCTGAATGATTTCCGGGAGATTATGATGGATTTTCATCTTGGTGAACCCAATAGAATCCCCAAGTTTTCAAAAGATGAGGAAGAAGGGAGAGCAGCATTCAGAGAAAGAGGTGTGGTAAGGAAGAAGGGTCTGAGTGATGCCATGTGAGATGTGACCAGTCTTTGTGGGCTTTGAGGAAGGAGGAAGGGGACCAGGAGCGAAGGAATGTGGGAGCCTCTAGAAGCTGAGAAAAGTGAGAAGCAGATTCTTGCCTGGAATCCTCAGAGGGAAGGCAGCCTTGCTGTCACCTTGATTTTAGCCCAGTGAGATGCACTTCATACTTTGAGCTACAGCACTGTAAGATAATTAAAAAACCGTTTTGTTTTCACCCACGAATCTTGTGGAAATTTGTTATGGCAACAATAGGAAAAGCTTCCACAGTGCACAGCCTGAGCATGGGGCCGTGGCTGAATGAGTCAGTGAGTCGAAGTGTGCGTGCATGAGCTCTGTTCTCTGTTACAGCAAGGCTCTTTCTCTGCTGAGTCAGCCAGGGTTGCTTCATGACCTATAGGAGCTCATTCCTTGGCAAGTGGAACTTCTCTAAAACACCTCGCCCTCATCAGATGTTCCCTTCCCTTCCCTCTCTCAAGTCTCCAGGAATTTATCCTCCAGTTAGGAATGCAGGCAGAACAAACATTGCATTTTTCCTGAGAAGGATGTCAGATTGGCAATCATTCTTCTAGCTTGTAGGAAGTCTCAGCTCCATAAAATGAGAGATGAAGAGATTTCACTGAGCCCTGTGTTGGACCCAGATCCCTTTTGCTGTAGGAGTATCTGGAGTTCGGAGATGGTGGAAGACAGGGGTACAATGTCAGAGCTGTGAGATGCTGAGTCAACGCCTGAATCCAAGGTTTCCACCTCCCCAGGTTTCCAAAAGCGGATATAAGAGGGTTCTGTACTCACCGGTTTTGGAGCTTGGTTCAGTGGGTGAAGGCCAACTATTTGAAGGGTTTCCTAGAACATGAGACAGGAGAGAGGTGAGGAAATGAGGGTGTCTGTCCTCTACTCAGTGGAAATCTTTGAGGATGGTTCATGGCCAACACTCTGTTATCTAATATTGGGCCCTGGGAGTCCTGGGATCCTTTTTTCCATAATTTTTTTATGTGACGCCCACTGTCTTGAGACTTCAAGGTATAAAGAGAAAACAGGAGCATCACACTACCTGATCTCAAAATATGTTACAGAGCTGTAGTAAGCAAAACAGCATGACATTGGCATAAAGAAAGGGACATAGAACAACGGAGCAGAATGAATAACACAGATATATTCCATGCATTTACATCCAATGGTTTTTTATTTTTTCTTTTGAGATGGAGTCTTGCTCTGTCACTCAGGCTGGAGTGCAGAGGTGCAATCTCAGTTCACTGCAACCTCAGCCTCCTGGGTTCAATCATTCTCTTGCCTCAAACTCCTGAGTAGTGGTATTACAGGTGCTGACCACCATGCTCAGCTAATTTTTATATTTTTAGTGGAGACGATGTTTCATCACGTCGTCCAGACTGATCTTGAACTCCTGGCCTCAGGTAATCCACCCGCCTCGGCCTCCCAAAGTGCTGAAATTGCAGGTGTCAGCCACCAAGCCCAGCCCATCCAATGGACTTTGACAAAGGTGCCAAGAACTCACAATCAGGAAAGGACAGTCTTTTCAATAAACAGTGCAGGGAAACCTGGACATCGACATGCAGAGGAATGAAACTGCACCTCTACCTGTCACCATACACAAAAATCAAATGAAAATGGATTAAAGATGTGAGTCTAAGGCCTGAACCTATGAAACACGTAGAACAAAATATTGGGGAAATGCTCCAGGACATTTGTCTGAAGAAAGACATTTTGTTTTAAACCTTGAAAACACAAGTAATCGAAGCAAAAATAGACCATTGGGATTACCTCAAACTAAGCAACTTCTGCACTGCTAAAAATAAACCAACAAAGTGAAGAGACAACCCACAGATTGGGAGCAAATATGTGCAAACTATGCATCTGAGATGGGATTAATAACTAGAAATATAAGAAGCTCAAACAACTCAATAAAACAAATGATTTAATTGAAAAAGGAGCAGAAGACATGAAATTTCCCCACATACTAAAAAGTGCTCAGTATCACTCATCATCAGAGAAACGCAAATTAAAATCAAAGTGAGTTTTCATCTCACCCCATTAAAATGGCTTTTAGGCCGGGCGTGGTGGCTCACGTCTGTCATCCTAGAACTTTGAGAGCCTGAGGTGGGTGAATCTCATAAGGTCAGGAGTTTGAGACCAGTCTGACCCACATAGAGAAACACTGTCTCTACTAAAAATACAAAAATTAGTCGGGCGTGGTGGAGTGTGCCTGTAATTCCAGCTACTCGGGAGGCTGAGGCAGGAGAATCGCTTGAACCTGGGAGGTGGAGGTTGTGGTGAGCCGAGATAGCGCCACTGCACTCCTGCCTGGGTGAGAAGAGCAAAACTCCATTCAAAATAAAATGAAATAAAATAAAATGGCTTTTAGCTGCAAGACAGGCAAAAGAAATGCTGGCAAGGTGGTAGAGAAAGGAGAACCCTGGTACCCTGTTGGGAGGAGTGTAAATTAGTACAGCGATTACGGAGAAAAGTATGGAAGTCCTTTAAAGAACTAAAAAGAGGTTGGGTGTGGTGGATCAGGCCTGTAATCCCAGCACTTTGGGAGACTGAGGCGGGCATCTCAGTTGAGGTCATGAGTTTGAGAGCAGCCCAGCCAACATGGGGAAACCCCATCTATACTAAAAAAAACAAAAAGTAGCCAGGCATGGTGGCGTGCACCTGTAATCCCAGCTACTAGGGAGGCTGAGGCAGGAAAATCATTTGAACCCAGGAGGCAGAGGTTGCAATGAGCCAAGATGACATCACTTGTACTCCAGCCTGGGCACAGAGGGAAACTGTCTCAAAAACAAAAACAAAACAACAAACGAAAAACTAAAAAGAGAACTTTCATAGTATCCAGCAATTTCACTACTGGGTTTATATCCAAAGGAAAGTAAATCAATATATCGAAGTGATATCTGCACTCGTATGATTGGTGCAGCACTGTTCACAGTAGCCAAGATGTGGAGTCAACCTACCTGCCCATCAGTGGATGAATGGATAGAGAGAATGTAGTACATACGCACAGTGGAGACTACTCATCCATAGAAAGAATAACATCCTGATATTTGCAGCCACATGGATGGAACTGGAAGTCATTACAAAGATTCCCATTTCTCACCCATATACAGAGCTAAAAGGTGGATCTCATGAAGGTAGAGAGTAGAATGATGGCTTCCAGAGGCCAGGAAGAAAAGGGTGGAGGGTAAAAAAAAAAAAAAAATATATATATATATAAATGTATTTATGACCACTAGACTTTACACTTAAAAATGGTAAATGTGGCTGGGCGTGGTGGCTCATGCCTGTAATCCCAGCACTTTGGGAGGCACATGCGGGTGGATCACGTGGTCAGGAGTTGGAGACCAGCTCGACCAACATGGTGAAACCACCTCTCTACTAAAAATACAAAAAGTAGCCTGGCGTGGTGGTGCGCGCCTGTAGCACCAGCTACTCAGGTGGCTGAGGCAAGAGAATCGCTTGAACCCAGGAGGCGGAAATTGCAGTGAGCTGAGATTGTGCCACTGCACTCCAGCATAGGGGACAGAGCTAGACTCTGCCTCAAAAAAAAAAAAAATGTTAAAGGTGGTAAGCTATATAGGTATATTTATCCTCAATAAATATTTCTTCAAACAAAAGTAAAGGGTGTAGGGGTTGCTGGTGATGACATCCCTGTGTGGGTGAGAGGCCAGGATGGGCTTCTGGGAAATGGATAATGTTGAGGGGCTGAGGGAACCTCTGATCTTCCCAAACTGAGCCCAGTCTCTCTCCTCTGGGTCTCTCCTGACCGTTTTCTCCATCTGCCTGTGTGCCTGGAGCCCTGGCCGCGGGCCTTCATGCAGGCCGTGTAGGAGGGTTTGGAGGTGCCCTGTCTGCCATCCTGTGCCCTGATCCCTCCCTCACACCCAAGCTTCGTCTTCTCTCTGCATCTGTCCATGCTTCTCTCCATCATCAGCAGGAAGCTCCTCAGCTAAGGCTCTAGGATCATAGGACATGAGACAGATATGGGGTTTCCTCACCTGTGACAGAAACAAGCAGTGGGTCACTCGAGTTTGACCACTCATAGGGAGAGTCACGGAAAGAGCCGAAGCATCTGTAGGTTCCTCCGTGGGTGGCAGGGCCCAGAGGAAAGTCGGCCTGGAATGTTCCGTTGACCTTGGGCCCTGCAGAGAACCTACGTTCATGGGCCTCCCCCTCCCTGGATAGATGGTACATGTCATAGGAGCTCCGGGAGCTGCAGGACAAGGTCACGCTCTCTCCTGCCAAAACCGTGGGGCCCGGCTGGGCTGAGAGAGAAGGTTTCTCATATAGACCTGGAAGGAGAAGAGGCATTTTCCTCAGGGAGGATCTTCCTTGTCACAGCTCCCTTCACCTGAGCTGAGAACTCACTCCCCTGCTCTATGACCTAATGCTCTCTCTCTCTCTCTCTCACCCTCCACCCCATCTCTCTTCATGTCTATTTCCTCCTTCCACCTTCTCTGTCTCTCTAGGTCTCTGACCTCGCTTCCCCACCTCTAGATATGTTTTCCCTTTTTGGATTCTTTTATTCTCTCTGACTCTCCTTGGATTGGTTGACTTGATGTTACTTTTTTAAATTCTAAGTTTCTCACGTTGTGTCCTGTTCATAACTTTCTGCATATTTCTATCTATTATCTGTCGATCTATCTATTTATCTATTCGGTGCCTATCTACAAATTCTCTACCTGTCATCTATATCTATATATCATCTATGTATCTATCAGTTGTCTATCTATCCATCAATCATCTGTTATTTATATGTATGTATCATCTCTCTCTCTATGATTTCTGTCTGCCTCTCTATCTGTACGTATTATCTATCTGTCTTCATCATCATCATCTCTATGTATTATCTATTAATGAATCAATCAATCATCATCTATGTATCTTTAACCTATTATCTATCATCTACCTATTTATCATCTATCTATATCTATCCATCTATCATCTGTCTTGCTCTGCCTCTCGGTCTCTCTAGTTCTCTTTGGAATCTCTGCAGTTCATCCCCACATCTCCATCTTTCTATGTCCTTGTGCCTCTCCCTCAGGACTCTAATTTTAGTGCTTTTCTCTGCTCCCTTCCATCATTCTCACCACTCCTCTGCCCTCTTTTCTCTCTCTTTATGTGTCAGTGAGTCTCTCAATCTCCTTCCTCTGGCCCATTCTCTGTGTGTTTATGTCTTTGCTTTTTGGTGTTCCTGATTTCTCTCTGTGCCTCTCAGTGATCCTTTCATATGTGGGGTTATTTGGAATGTGAGCCTCAGAATCCAGTCTGGAGACCACAAGTTCACACAGCATACAGGGGTTGGTGTTCTGGGGCCATGATATCCTGGGACGGTTACTCTCCATTACATGGAAGGCAGAGGTGTCAGAATAAACATGGCCTGTAGGTGCCACAAGGCCTGAGGCCACAGGGCCCAACTCAGGTCAGAAATATGGGTGTCCTTGGGTTCTCCTGGTAGAGAACACTTTGTGGAGGTAAAACAGAAATGAAACTTCTATCCTGTGCCAGGTCTGTGAGCAAAGTCAGCATGGAGGGACACCTCTCTCTGGGACATGTCTGTCTGTCTGTCTCCTTTAACTCTTTCTGTCTTTTCTAACTCCCTGTATGGCCCCTGTGTCTGTCCTCCGTTATGACACCTGGTCTGTACTTGTGTCTCCTGTTTCTCTGTCTCTGTTGGTACAAACCTCAGCAAGTCAGTCTCTCTCCATAAGAATACCAAGCTCATCTTCCTTACAACTACCTGGGGGTTCCAAGTCGTGGATCATTCACTCTGCAGCCCAATGACAATGAGAATGTCCGGACACTCTCACCTGTGATGACGATGTCCAGAGGGTCACTGGGAGCTGACAACTGATAGGGGGAGTGAGTAACAGAACCGTAGCATCTGTAGGTCCCTGCAAGGTCTTGCATCATGGGACCGATGGAGAAGTTGGCCTTGGAGACCCCATCATGGTGCTCTCCAATGAGGTGCAAAGTGTCCTTATACTTCCCCTCTCTGTGCAGAAGGAAGTGCTCAAACCTGACATCTGACCAACATTGCAGGATGACTGTCTCTTCTGATTTCACCAGGGGACCTGGGTGGGCCAGGAGGGAAGGTTTTCTGTGGACTCCTAAGAAGAGAGGTTGTGAGTTTAGAAGGTGTCTCTCTTTATCATCCCATCCATGGCACCTAGAATGAGTGAGGCTTCCCCTTGCTGGTGTCTGTCTCTCTCCTTCCTCTCTGTGTCTTCATGTTCTTTTCTGTGCCCATAACTCCTGGTGCAGGTCCTTCCATCTGTCTCCCTCCCTCTTCTCTGTCCCTCTGTCTCTAGTAGCCTCTGATTCCCTTCCCACTGGGCTTAGCCTCATCTCTTGGGGTGTTGTATCTATTTCACACTAACGTCTTTCCTGCTGTTTATGTGGGGGTGAAAGAGGAACCAGGATAGGCTGCACATCCAGGCTCTTATCAGCCTTGTTCAATCTCTTTTGGATGAATTGCAATCCTTGGCAGAAGGTATGAACTGATGAATAAGGCAGGCACCAGTGTCCACACACCCTGTTCCTGGTCGGGACTGGGAGCCACTCTTGCCATGCCTGTGCCTTCTCCATGGTGCCAGCTTCCATAGGCTGGCTCCTGGTGCTGGTTGGAGGAGTATCAACCCCTCCCTATGTGGATGGAGCCTGGTGGTGGCATCATCATCCCACCCTTGCTGATCTCAGGGTAGCCAACCTTCTCCTTGTTTGGTTTCTTTAATTAATTAATTAATTTTGGAGACAGAGTCTCACTCCTTCACCCAGGCTGGAGTGAAGTGGTGTGGTCTAGGCTCACTGCAACCTCTGTTTCCTGGGTTCAAGTGATTCTCCTGCCCTCAGCCTCCTGAGTCGCTAGGATTACATGCGCCTGCCACCATGCCTGGCTTTCCTTGGGTTGTTTCTTAACTTGTCCTTGACCTGGGTTCCAGTGTTGGTTTCCTGTTGCTGCTGTACAAAATTATCAGAAGCATGGAAGCAGGAGAGACCACACTGACACCTTCCAGTACTGGAGACAGAAATTGGACCCTATTTTTCCTGGGCTAAAATCAAGGCATCTGCAGGGCTTCGTTTCCTCTGGAGACTCTGGAGAATCAGTTCCTTGACTTTTCCAGCCTCTATAGGCCACCTGCATTCATGGCTCTTGGCCTTCCTCCACCTTCAAAGCTGGTGAAGACTTCCACTGGACTGCTCTAATCCCCACTCCCCTCTTCCTCCTCCTTTCATGTGCACCCTTGTGATTACACTGAGCCCAGTGGGACAGTCCAGGCTGTCTCCCCATGAGCTCCATCTTCCCCTTCAGTCCCTTCCCCTATAACATACATAGTCACAGACTCCAGGGATTAGAATGTAGTCATCACTGGGGACAATTATTCTTCCCACCACAGCACCCATTTCCCTGTATTCAATCCCCCTTTACCACAAATACAGTCAGGGCCTGCGTGATGGGACCCTCAAGGACATGCCCACCAGAAGCTCTGGGATTCAGGAGGTGGGACAAGGAGAATCCAAGACAGGAGCCCTCTGACCTATGACCACGATCACCAGGGGGTTGCTGGGTGCTGACCACCCACTGGGGGAGTGTGTGTGTGAACCCCGACATCTGTATGTCCCTGTTGTGCGGGGGTCACAGGGCCCATGAAAAGGCTGTTCCAGAATATTCTGTTGTAGAGCTCAGGGACAGGCACCCCACCTTCCTTGTACAGACTGAAGTTGTTAAACCCAAGATAAGAGTGACACCGAAGAATGACATGTCCTAGAGGCACCACAAGGCTGGGCCAGGCAGACAGCAAGGGCTTGTCCTGACCACCTTGGGGAGAAGGAGGCGCCGCCTTAGAGAGGAGGATGTGGAACTGCCCCTCCCTCCCTGTGCTCAGAAGATTCTCCTCGCTTTCCACGTTTCTATGGCTACTATCACACCTTGGTGCCCAGGGCTGAAGGAAGGACCCATCCCGCAAAGACATGGTGTCTCCCTACAACAAAAGCCTCAGCTGAGAACTTTGAGCAAGTGCTGAGTAAAGAGACTCCTACTAGATTTTAATACTGTAAGATTACTCACATAAAACAACACAGGGTAGACATGAGGTGGAGGGCATGTCCTTTGTGAGTGGATATCAGCGGATGCCTGAACGAAAATAAACAACTGAGCCCCCATCAGAGGATTTGGAATGTCAGGGCCATGGCTGTGGTTTCCCACCTCTTCTGGTAGAATGACAGCAGCCACACTGCAGCCCCTACCATCATGGAAACGCTGAAGTGTGTGAGTAACACCTTTGTCCTCAGAGGATCTGCTGTTCCTACCACTTCCCCACCACACACCCCAGCTTTGAGCACCCCAGTCTAACCCTGGTCCCCACAGAACTTGACTCTGCCAAGGGGTTGAGAGGCCAGGGAGGCAAGGTCAGAAATGTGGGCCGAGCACCCCAGGGTCCTCTCTTCCCAGTTTATGAGAGACTCCCTGACAGGACTTCCCTCCTGTTTCAGGAAAATCCTCTTATGTGGGGAGATGACAACCGAAGGTTTGGAGAAGGACTCACCCTCATGTGGCCAGGCCCCCTGCAGCAAGAAGAACCCTGGAAAGAAAGATCATGATGGACCATCCATCTGCAGGCAAACCAGGACTCCCTTGCTGCCCCCACTGGGCTGTGAGTCTTGGCAGCCAGGCCCTTCCTGGGCTGAAGTTAAACTCACCCTCAGTGCCTACCTGCACCCAAGAACAGGGCTGTCGGCTGTGCAGAGACCCAGTTTCCAGGCCCAGATCCCCACCACAAGCCCATATCTCCACTCCAGGCTGATATTTCCACCCTAGGCCCATATCTCCAATCCAGTCCCATATCTCTGCCCCAGGCCCAGATCTCCACCCTAAGCCCATATCTCCACTCCAGGCCCATATCACCTCTCCAGTCCCATATCTCCACACCCAGGCCCATATCTCCTTCCTAGGCCCATATCTCCACTCCAGGCCCAGATATCCACCTCTAGGCCCATAACTCCACTCCTGGCCCATATCTCCACTCCAGGCCCATATCTCTACTGCAGGCCCGTATCTCCACCTCCAGATCCATATCTCCACTCCAGGCCCATATCTCCACTCCAGGCCCATATCTCTACTGCAGGCCCATATCTCCATCTCCAGGCCCATATCTCCATCTCCAGGCCCATGTCTCCACTACAAGCCCATATCTCTACTGCAGGCCCATATCTCAACCTCCAGGCCCATATCTCCACTCCAGGCCCAGATCTCCACTTCTAGGCCCATCACTCCATCTCTAGGCCCATAACTCCACTTCCAGGCCTATATCTCCAACTCTGGGCCCCGATCTCCATCCCCGCACTCCCTCCCTCGATTCCCTTCCAGGACTCACCAACACACGCCATGCTGACGACCATGAGCGACATGGTGCTGTCTGTGCAGACAGGCGGCCGCGCCCCAGCTCAGCTCAGCAGCGCACAGGATGTTATTTGGCGCCCTGCCCATGCAGTTTACATGTTGACCACATCATGGGAGGGTGACGTACGCAGGCTCTTTCTACCTTGCATGAGGCCCAGTGGGTGCTCGCTCAAGAGCGGAACATGGCTTCCTGGAAATTGTTCTCACTAGAATTGACACCTTGCGTCCTTCACTACGACCAGACTCAAAAGACGTCTCAGATCCAACCTCTCATACACGAGATGATTGAATTCTGTGCTTACATTAAAGATTTTTGATGTATTTTTGTTTTTATCTGAGATTCAAACTCTTCTTCATATGTAATGTGCAAAATGTCTAACAGGTATTATTAACATTATCAGAGTAATTGTGACAAGAAGCCATTCTAATTTTCCTGCTTGAGTTTCTAGTACTAAACCAGAGGCATCAGAATAGCTTGAACCTGGGAGGCGGAGGTTGCAGTGAGCTGAGCTCAAGCCACTGAACTCCAGCTTGGGTGACAGAGGAAGAGTCTGTCTCAAGAAAAAAAAAAAGCAAACTAAATAACCTATAATAACAAATCAGAGGACTCAGGTTACCAAATTTTAAGGGGTTCTATAAGTTTATATAAAATGCAGCATCCTCATGAGAGGGGATACAGAGAACCACTGGACAGAAAACTGTGTCTAAAATACATCTGTGGATACACAGTCCCTTTATAGTTGACAAAGGCTGCCATGTAGTTTAAGGTGGAATAGAATATTTTCTCAACAAATAACACAGGACCATAGGGTTACACGTAGGAAAAAATAAATCTAAACTTATCCTCACACTATAAAAACACTTCTTATTTTTTATCTTGTTGTTGTAAATTTTTTATGCTTTATTTTTAAGATTGACAAATAAAAATTATATACCATGGTCCTTCACTATACCTGGGTGATTGGTTCCAGGATCCCCATTCAGATACCAAAATCTGCAGATGCTCAAGCCCCTTGCATGAAATGGCATAGTGAAGCTGGGCACCGTGGCTCACGCCCGTAATCCCAGCACTTTGGGAGGCTGAGCTGGGTAGATCACAAGGTCAGGAGTTCAAGACCAGCTGGTCCAACATTCTGAAACCCCGTCTCTACTAAAAATACACACACAAAAAAATTTATCTGTGCAGGGTGGCACGTGCCTGTAATCCTAGGGGAGGCTACTGAGGAGGCTGAGGGAAGAGAATCGCTTGAACCTGGAAGGCGGAGGTTGCAGTGAGTTGAGATCACGCCACTGCACTCCAGCCTGGGTGAGAGAGTGAGACTGTCTCAAAAAAAAAAATAGCATAGCAATTGCATAGAACCCATGCACATCCTCCTGTATACATGAAATCATCTCTTGATTACTTATAATTCCTGACACAGCCTACACGCCACTCAATTTGTGTCGATTCAACATAGTTTTTTGCTTTTTGAAACTTCGGGGATTTTTTTTCTCAAAATATTTTTGATTTATTGCTGATTCAATAAACATGTGTAAACCCCAGAGATATGGAGGAGTGACTGTCTATTTATAGTAGTATGAAAGATGATGTGTTGATACGTGTCCCTGTGGAGATGAGACTAACAAGGCCTATGACTCTACAAATGTTTCATCGTGGAATGACTCTGCCAGCTTTCCAGATCTGCAGAGAGTAAGAATATCACTTGTTCATCTGATTCACCATCCTTGGAACCTCCTATGTGCTGCATCTTTGGATGGAAACTGGAGTCTCAGAGACAATTCAGGCTCCACCCTGCTTCCAGAAGCTCAGAGTCCAGGGGTGAGAACCCAGCGGAGAACAGATGGGGTTATGTGGACGTGGTAATGATAACACCGGAAGCCTTAGGCAAGAAAAGAGTCCCATTGACGAAACCATGAGGGCAGACATGTTTACTTGAAGAATAGAAAACTACATTGAAATTATAAAAAAAATTTATAAGTTTTACTGCTGACAGAAGGCTGAAAGATACTCTGAGGAAAGGTGGAACAACATGAGGAAAGGTGGAATAGCATGTATCTAAGTGCCGTGTTAAGAGGGAGCCTCTTATATGTTTGGAATTGTGAGTTCCTCAGTGTGATCGCAGCCTCAAGTAGACTAGGAAGTAAGCCAGTTAGGTTGGAGAGGTGGGCAGGGGTCAAGTGAAATGGAGAATTGTGGGCTAAGCAAAGGAGTGTGTTTTCTCTCCAGCAGGCAGTGGGGACCTTAGACATTTGTAAGCAAGAGAGAGGCATGTTCAGATTCGTGGTGTGAGGAAGAGCGATGCCCTAAGATGCAGACTCACGCCTTCAGATTCCAGCTGCTGGTACATGGGAGCTGGCAACCCGGTTTTGAGACAGGGCTATTGTCTCCCTAGAAGATCCCATCAAGGCCTGACTGTGGTGCTGGTGGACAGAAGACAACTTTGGATCTGCGCTCAGCATTTGGAAGTTCCGTGTTACACGCTGGTATCTGTTGGGGGTGTCTTGGGCCTCTGAGAAGGGCGAGTGATTTTTCTCTGTGTGAAAACGCAGTGATTCAACTGTGCGTATGTCACCTCCTGAGGGTCTTGTTCATCAGAGTCCTGGAGGGAGGGAAATGCTGAGTGAGGGAGGGTGCTCACATTTTTCAGGACTCTTTGGGAATAAGACTAGCCATGAGGCTGGGCTGAGGAGCACCTACCTCCCTGTTCACTGTTCTGTTCCCTGCAGGCTCTTGGTCCATTACAACAGCATCTGTAGAAGACGGAAGTCGTCAAAACAGCTCGGAGGGCACTTCTGGGTCCTCATTTCATAAGCAGATACCAACATGCAGGGGGAGGCCATAGGTGCCTGAGGTCCCTCAGTTGCCAACAGCAGACTCAGACATTCTATCTCTCTGAGCTCAAGGACCCATCCCATGAATAGCTCTGAGTTCCCATCCCATTGATTCTGTCTCCCACTTTCTGCCTGTCATGGAACCTTCTCCTGGATGTGAGTGGCTGCAGGGGATGTGAGGATATGGTTCAGAATCAGGCAATGGTCTGTGAGCTGAAGGCAGGGGCAGGGAGTCTGGTGCTCTCTCTAGAAAGTCCTGCCTCTGTGGCTCCTGCCTTGGGTCAGGGACCATCCTGCCTGTAAGGAACACACACCTGAGTGCTCCCATCCTGCTTCCCCACATGGCCCTGAGCTCTCTGGCTTCTGCTTCGTGAGACTTACTCTTTTTGTTGGCACACCAGCGATGAAGGAGAAAGAAGAGGAGGATAGCAAAGGGGATGATGACCACTGAGGTCCCAATCAGAGCGTGCAGGTATCTGGAGTTACCTGGAGGAAGACAAGACACCAATAAGAAGCTAATCATAGCAGTTCCTCTATATGAATTGTCTCACATTTCTTGATTGACAGGTAACCACATACAACGTCTCTTTAGGACAAGCACCCAGATGGCGGGAGACCTAGCTTCCTCCTGCTTTCTCAGTTGTAGTAACCATAGAACGTGCTGAGGATACAACTGCTTTAGTTTAGATGTTTGACCACTTCAAACCTCACATTGAAATGTAACCCCCAGGGTGGGAGGTTGGGCCTCTTGGGAGGTGTTTGGGTCATGGAGGTGGATCCATCATGAACAGATCAATGCTGTCCCAAGGAGATGGGGTTAGCAAGTTCCCCCTCTATTAGTTCCTGGAGAGCTGGTTGTTAAAAAGAACTTGGAAGCTCCATCGCTCCCCCTCCCCCTTGCTCCCTCTCTTGCCGTGTGATCTCTGTGGTCTCTGCACAGATAGACCCTCCTTCCCTTCTGCCAGAGCGGGAGCAGCCTGAGGCCGTCACAAGAAATAGATGCTGGTGCCATGCTTCCAGTACAGCCTGCAGAACTGTGAGGCAAACACATTTCTTTTCTTTAGAAGTTACCCAGGCTCAAGTGTTCCTTTAGAGCAACAAAAATGGACTAAGACAGCAAAGTCCTGAGATCAGGAGGAACATCCCAGAACAGCCTGGGCTGTCTTCCTGTTCTTCCTGGAGGAGGACGTCATGCAGTGCTTTAGCTGAGTGCTTCCTGTGGCTCCAGGGTACAAAACCCAGGCTGGGCTGCTTTTTGATTTCCCCCAGATACACTGCATATGGGGTGACTCCACATGTCTCGAGCAGCTTTTCTGAGCCTTGAGGGACTGGCTCACATTGAAATGTAGGCTTCTGTTGTCACTCGCTGCTTATCTGTTAGTAATGAACCTGCCTGTGTAATGTGTTCTCTGTGTGTTCTGTCTCCCTGGAGTGACGGTGAGTGATAGGAATTGGTATAGGCCCAGGTACATTCCAGGAGGTGTTTAGAGTCTTCTCTGGGAAGACTGGATTGGGATTGATACACAGCGAATGTGCTTTACAGTTTCTACCACCACAACCCTCTTGACTCAAAAAAATTACATTCTCCAAGAAAAGAAAGAAAAAATGAAATCAAGATAAAAAAAGTGAAGTAGAACTGACTTAAATCAAACAGCCATGAAATAATGATGTAGCCCAGGAACAACATGCTACTTTTTGTGATCTGCTGAGACATATATTAGGCTGCTATTCCACCCGAGAAGCACGGGGAAGGACCGCCCTCTCCGTCGTTTATTGTTTCAATACAGCCTGTCCTTCTGTGAGTTAGTACGAAATGTGACCAGGGGCTAGTGCTGGCACTGGTCTCTGAGTCCAAGATCTGAGCTCACTCCAAAGAGTATTAGTGTTTACCTCCCCATGATCTATCTGTATCTCCATAGGTGATTGGAAGTAGAGATGAATTGGGGGATTTGGGTGAAGGGGCAAGTTTTATGCCATGAACAGAGCACGTTCTCTATTCCAGGACCTGTGCTGGTGGGTTCAGGAGGCTTTCACATTTTCCATATGATCCCAAGCTCACAGAAAGCCAAATAAGGAAGAGGTTTAACCTGATTGTTTAATGGATAAGATAAAGGGTCAAAGAATTAAACACAGAGAAATAGAAAAATGATGGTTGGTATCCAGTTGCCTTTGTAATTTCTGTGTGTCATAATTATGTATGTTTTATTTTTATTTTTTGAGACAGAGTCCCCCTGTGTCAGGCTGGAGTGCAGTGATGCGATCTCAGTTCAACCTCTGCCTCCAGGGTTGAAGCCATTCTTCTGCTTCAGCCTCCCCAGTCGCTGGGATTACAGGCAGGTGCCAATGCACCAGGCTAATTTTTGTATTTTTAGTACAGACGGGGTTTCACCATGTTGGCCAGGCTGGTCTCAAACTCCTACCCTTAAGTGATCTACCCGCCTTGGCCTCCCAAAGTGTTGGGTTACAGGTGTGAGCCCCCATCCACAGTCTTGTATATTATATTATACTAGGTCCCTTCATTTGCACCACCCCTCATGTGTCTATCGCTCCTCTGCCAGGTATTGATTTAGATGTAGAAAAAAAACACATCTCAGAAAGAAATTAATGAAACAAGGATTAAACTACTAGGAAAAATCAAACCCAGCAAGCCCTCCCTGCAAATGATTCTACCTCACAAGCATAGCTTATATCCATCTTTCATTCATTTAGTGTGTAAATCAACCCTACGTTTCACCAGTGGGGCGGGAATTGCCTTTTCCACGGTCTCCTAGATTCCAGTTACGCACCTGGGCCTCCCTTATTTTCATGTCGGTCACTGTTAATCAGGTAGGGATTCCTAGTTAGCTCTGAGTTGAATCCAAGGGCTGTGAGTATCAAAAACATGCTCCTTGTTCCTCCTTAGTTTCCTGTGTACCCAGTGTGCTCTCCATCTCTCTACAGTTGTCTTGTCATTCTCCCCATCTCATTCCCAGCATTTGAGGCAGAGCCTCTTCCTTGAACTAAGAATGTTTCCACCTTTGTGCCTTCACGGCTGAGAGCTCAGTGTGGAAAATCCTTCCGCCAATCTTCCAAGGGTTGAATCCATTTTTTCCATTAAGGTCACAAATATTATCTGATCAGTGAGACCTTCTCTGTCACCTGAAATTATATACTCAGCATTATCTATTACTTATTTTAAATCCTGGCTGGGCGCAGTAGCTCTCGCCTGTAATCTTTGCACTTAGGGACGCTAAGGCGGTGGGATCACTTGAGATTGGGAGTTTGAGACAGCCTGCACAACATGGTGAAACCTCATTTCTACTAAAAAATATACCAAAAAAATTAGCCGAGTGTGGTGGCGCACAGCTGTAATCCCAGCTACTCGGTAGGCTGAGGCAGGAGAATTGCATGAACCCAGGAGGCAGAGGTTGCAATGAGCTGAGATTGTGCTACTGCACTCCAGCCTGTGGAACAGAGAGAGACTCTACTCAAAAAAAAAAAAGAAAACAAAAAACACACACACACACAAAAAACCCCAGATTTGGTGCACAGATGCTTCCCAATGGATCATTCATTTATTGGTACCCTTGTGCATTCATTCTCTGCCCTCGCATTTACCCATCTGCAATATCAGCGTCCCAAGAGCAGAGGCCAAATGCATCCTGTTTACCATTTGTGGAAGGCAGGAGAATGCTGCCCCACCCCCAAAATGTCCCTGTCTTAGCCTCCATAGCTTGTGAATATGTTATTTTACAGGAAAGGAGGAATGAAGATTGCAGATGGCATTACGGTTGCTAATCAGCTGAACTTAAAAAGAGGGTACGCTGGATGATTTTAGGGAGATTGAGATGGATTATCTTGGTGACCCCAATAGAATCCCAAAGTCCTTAAAAGATGAGGAAGAAGGCAGAGCAGGATTCAGAGAAAAAGGTATGGGTAAAGAAGAAGAGTCTGAATGATGCCATGTGAGACGTGACCAGCCTTTGTGGGCTTTGAGGAAGGAGGAAGGAGGAAGGGGACCAGGGGCCCAGGAACGTGGGAGCCTCTAGGAGCTGGGAAACGTTAAGGAGCAGATTCTTGCTTGGAACCTTAAAAAGAAATCCAGCCTTACTGTCCCTTTGATATCAGCCCAGTGAAATGCAGTTCATACTTCTGAGTTACAGCACTGTGAGATAATTAAGAAAAACATGTTTTCATCCACGAAGCTTGTGGAAATTTGTTATGGCAACAATAGGAAAAGATTCCACACTGCACAGCCAGAGCATGGGGCATTGGCTGAACGAGTGAGTGAGTGGAAGTGTCGTGTGCATAAATAAGCTAAATTCTCTCTTACTGCACGTCTCTTGCTCTGCTGAGTCAACCAGGGTTGCATCTGGTACACTGCTGATACGAATGCAAATTAGTACAGCCATTACAGAGGAGAAGAGTATGGAAGTTCCTCAAAAAATAAAATGAGGTCGGGCACAGTGGTTCATGCCTGTAATCCCAGCACATTGGGAGGCCGAGGTGGGTAGGTCACTTGAGGTCAGGAGTTGAAGAGCAGCCTGGCCAATATAGCGAAACTCTGTCTCTACTAAAAATATAAAAATTAGCCGAGTGTGGTGGTGGGAGCCAGTAACCCAGCTACTTGGGAGGCTGAGGCTGGGGAATCTCTTGAATCCTGGAGGTGGAGGTTGCAGTGAGCCCAGATGGCACCACTGCACTCCAGCCTGGGCAACAAGAGTGAAACTGTCTAAAAAAAACAAAAACAAAAACAAAAACCATAAAACAAAATGTAAAAAGACACTTCCAGAGGATCTAGCAATTCCATGACTGGGTGTAAACCCAAAGGAAAGGACATCAGCGTATCGAAGTGACATCTGCACTCCCATGACTGTTCCAGCAGTGTTCACAGTAGCCAAGATGTGGATCAACCTACCTGCCCATCAGTGGGTGAATGGATGGAGAGAATGTGGTACACACACACAATAGGGACAACTCATCCATAGAAAGAGTAACATCCTGTCATTTACAGCCACATGAATGGAACTGGAGGTCATTACAAGTATTTCCATTTCTCACTCATATGCAGGAGCTAAAAGGTGGATCTCACAAAGGTAGAGAGTAGAATGGTGGCTACCAGAGGCCAGGAAGGGAAGGGTGGAGGGTAAAAAAAAAAGAATACTAATTAATTAATTAATTAATTTTGAGAGAGTGTCTCTCTCTGTTGCCCAGGCTGCAGTGCAGTGGCATGATCTCAGCTCACTGCAACCTCCGCCTCCTGCAATTAAGTGCAACTCCTGCCCAACCCTCCCAAGTAGCTGGGACTACAGGCATGTGCCACCATGCTCGGCTAATTATTATCATTATTATTATTATTTTGTATTTTTAGTACAGATGGATTTTCCCCATGTTGGCCAGGGTGGTCTTGAGCCCCTGATCTCAAATGATCCACCTGCCTTGGCCTCTCAAAGTGTTGGGATTACAACAGTGAGCCACCGTGCCCAGCCTATAAATGTATTTATGAACAGTAGACTTCACACTTAAAAATGGTAAAGGTGGTAAATTACATAGGTATATTTCACCTCAATAAATATTTCTTCAAACAAAAAGAAAAGGGTGTAGGCGTTGCTGGTGATGACATCTCTCTGTGGGTGACAGGCCAGGATGGGCTTCTGGGAAGTGGGTAAGGTTGAGGGGCTGAGAGAACCTCTGATCTCCCCAGGCAGAGCCCAGTCTCCCTCCTCTGGGTCTGTTCTGACCTCTTTCTCCATCTGCCTGGGTGCCTGGAACCCTGATCAAGGGCCTCCTTGCAGGCCATACAGGAGGGTTTGGAGGTGCCCTGTCTGCCATCCTGCCCCCTGACCCCGCCCTTACACCCATGCTGTGTGTTCTGTCTCGGCATCTGTCCATGCTTCTCTCCATCATCAGCAGGAAGCTCCTCAGCTATGGCTCTAGGATCACAAGACATGGGACAGGCATGGTGTTTTCTCACCTGTGACAGAAACGGGCAGTGGGTCACTCGGGTCTGACCACGCGTGGGGCAGGGCACGGAAAGAGCCGAAGCATCTGTAGTTCCCTCCGTGGGTCACAGGGCCCAGAGGGAAGTTGGCCTGGAATGTTCCATTGACCCTCAGCACCGCAGTGAGCCTAAGTTCACCGGCCTCTGCCTCCCTGGATAGATGGTAAATGTCAAACAAGCTCCGGGAGCTGCAGGACAAGGTCACATTCTCTCCTGCCTGAACCGTGGGGCCCGGCTGGGCTGAGAGAGAAGGTTTCCCATATAGACCTGGAAGGAGAAGAGGTGGTTTCCTCAGGGAGGTTCTTCGTTGTCACAGCTCTCCTCACACCTGAGCTGAGAACTCACTCCCCTGCTCTATGACTTAATGCTCTCTTTCTCTCTCTCACCCTCCACCCCCATCTCTCTTCATGTCTATTTCCTCCTTCCACCTTCTCTGTCTCTCTAGGTCTCTGACCTCACTTCTCCATCCCTAGCTATGTTTTCTTTTTTTGTACCATTTTATTCTCTCTGACCCTCCTTGGACTGGTTGACTTGATCTTCCTCTTTCTTTAATTCTGAGTCTCTCACTTTCTGTCTTGCTCATAACTTTCTGCATATTTCTATCTACTATCTATTGATCGATCTATCATTTATCTATGTATGTATCTATCATCTATCATCATCTGTGTATCTATGACCTATCTCTCTGTTATCTATCATCTATCAATCAATGTATGTATGTATGCATCTATCCATCTATCATCATGTGTTTATCTTTCTATCTCTCTATATCTATTTATATATCATCTGTCTGTCTTTCTACTTGTCTATCTATATCATCTATCAGTCATTCATCATCTATTTGTCTATCACCTGTCTCTCTATTATCTATCATCTACCTTTTATCTTTCATCTATCTATATCTATCTATCCATCTATCATCTGTCTCTCTCCATCTCCTTGTCTTTCTCTGCCTCTCAGTCTCTCTAGTTCCCTTTTGGAGTCTCTGCAATCCATCCCCACATCTTTATCTTTCCCTGTCTTTGTGCCCCTCCCTCAGGGCTCTGATTTTAGGGCTTTTCTCTGCTTCCTTCCATCATACGCTCCACTTCTCTGCCCTCTTTTTCTATCTCTTTATGTGTCTGTGAGTCTCTCAATTCCCTTCTTCTGGCTCATTCTGTGTGTGTGTTCATGTCTTTGCTTTTTGATTTCCCTGATTTCACTCCGTGTCTCTCTGTGGGCTTTTGTTCTCAGTAATCCTATAACATGTGGTGCTATTTGAATATGAGCCTCAGAATCCAGTATGGGGACTCCAGGAACTCACAACATACAGGGGTTGGTGTTCTGCTCCCTCACCTGGGGCCATGGTGTCCTGCGACGACGACAGCTCCACTGCACGGAAGGCAGAGGTTTAAGAATAAACACAGCATCTGTAGGTGCCACCAGCCTGGGGCCACACGGCCCAACTCAGGCCAGATAGATGTGTCTCTTTGGGTTCTCCTGGGAGAGAACACTTTGTAGAGGTAAAACAGAATGGAACCTTCTAACCTGTGCCTGGTCTCTGAACAAAGTCAGCATAGAAGGACACCTCTCTCTGGGATATATCTGTCTCTCTGTGTCTTCTTTACCTCTTTATCTCTTTTTCTAACACCTTGTATGGCCCCTGTGTCTGGCTTCTATGTTATGACATGAGGTCTGTACTTGTGTCTCCTGTTTCTCTGCCTTTGTTGGTACAGACCTCACCAAGTCACTTTCTCTCCATAGGAACCCCACACTCATCTTCCTCATGACCACCTGGGGCTTCCAGTCCTAGATCATTCACTCCATCTCCCAGCAAGGGTGAGAGGCAGGTCTGTATTCTCTCACCTACGACCACGATGTCCAGAGGGTCACTGGGAGCCGACAACTCATAGGGTAAGTGAGTGACAGAACCAAAGCATCTGTAGGTCCCTGCAAGGGCAGGTGTCATGGGACCCATGGAATAGTTGACCTGGGAACCCGCATCGTGGAGCTGTCCAATGAGGCGCAAGGGGTCCTCAGTGATCCCCTCTCTGTGCAGAAGGAAGCGCTCAAACCTGACATCTGACCAACATTGCAGGATGACCGTCTCTCCCGATTTCACCAGGGGACCTGGGTGGGCCAGGAGGGAAGGTTTTCTGTGGACTCCTAAGAAGAGAGGTTGTGAGTTCAGAAGGCGTCTCCCTTTCTCATCCCATTCATGGGACCTGAAATAAGTGAGGCTTCCCCTCCATGGTGTCTATCTCTCTCCTTCCTCTCTGTGTCTCCGTGTTCTTTTGTGCCCATAACCCCTGTTGCAGGTCCCTCCATCTGTCTCCCTCCCTCTTCCCTGTCTCTCTGTCTCTAGTAGCCCTGATTCCCTTCCCACTGTGCTCAGTGTCACCTCTTATGCTGTTGTATCTGTTTCCCACTAATCTCTTTCCTGGTGTTTATGTGGGGGTGGAAGAGGAACCACGACAGGCTGCATGTCCAGGCTCTTAGCAGCCTGAATCAATCTCTTTTGGACAGATTGGAAAGGCTGGCAGGAGGTACGAACTCATCAGTAAGGCAGGCATCAGTGTCCCTGTTCCTGATGGGGATTGGGAGCCTCTCCTGTCATGTCTGTGCCTTCTCCATGGCCCCAGCTTCCATAGGGTGGCCCCTGGTGCTGGTTCCAGGAGCATCAACCCCTCCCTATGTGGATCGAGCCTGGTGGTAGCATCAGTATCCCACCCATGCTAAAATCAGTGTAGCCAACCTTCTCCTTGTTTGGTTTCTTAACTTGTGCTTCACCTGGGTTCCTGTGTTGGTTTCCTGTTGCTGCTGGAGAAAATTGTCACAAACATGGGGCAGGAGAGAATACAATGACCCCTTCCACTTCTGGAGAACAGAAATCGGACCCAGTTCTCTCTGGGCTAAAATCAAGGCATCTACAGGGCTGTGTTTCCTCTGGAGACTCAGGGAAGAATCAGTTCCCTTGACTTCTCCAGCCCTTAGAGGCCAACTGCCTTTGTGGCTCATGGCCTTCCCCCATCTTCAAAGCCCGCTGTGGCTGATGGAGTCTCCCTCCCACGACGTTGCTCTAACCCCACTTTCCTCTTCCTCCTCCTCTCATGAGGACCCTTGTGATTACTCTGAGCACAGCAGGACAGTCCAGGCTGTCTCCCCATCGCAAGGTCAACCCATCAACAACCTGAGCTCCATCTTCCCCTTCAGTCCCCTGCCCTATGACATAAATAGTCACAGGGTTCATGGATTACCATGTAGCCATCACTGGGGACAATTATTCTTCCCACCACAGCAACTATTTCTCTGTACTGAATCCCCCTTTACCCCAAATACAGTCTGGGCCTGGATGATTGGACCCTGATGGACACCCCCACCAGAAGCTCTGGGATTCAGGAGGTGGGACAGTGAGAAGCCCAGACAGAAAGCCTCTGACCTGTGACCATGATCACCACAGGGTTGCTGGGTGCCGACCACCCAGTGGGGGAGTGTGGGTGTGAACTGCAACATCTGTAGGTCCCTGCATGTGCTGGGGTCACAGGGCCCATGAGAAAGCTGTTCCGGAATATTCTGTTGTAGAGCTCAGGGACAGGCATCCCGTCTTCTTTGGACAGACTGAATTCGTTAAACCCAAGACGAGAGCGACACTGAAGAGTCACATGTTGTCCTTCAGACACCACAGTGCCGGGCCAGGCAGAGAGGAAGGGCTTGTCCTGACCACCTGGGGGAGAAGGAGGCACTACCTTAGAGAGGAGGATGTGGAGCCGCCCCTCCCTCCCTGTGCTCAGAAGATTCTCCCATTTCCACGTTTCTAAGGCTCCTACCACACCTGGGTGCCCAGGGCTACAGGAAGGACCCATCCCGCATAGACATGGCGTCTCCCTACAGCAAGTGTCAGCTGAGAACTTTGAGCAGGTGCTGAAGAAGCGACTCTTACTAGATTTTAACACTGCAAAATTACTTACATAAAAGAACACAAGGTAGACACAGGATGGAGGGCATGATCAGCTAATGCATGAACCATAATAAACAACTGAGCCCCTATTAGAAGATCTGGAATGTCAGGGTCATGACTGTGGTTCCCCCACCTCTTAGGTAGAATGACAGCAGCCACATTGCAGCCCCTACCGTCATGGAAACGCTGGAGGGTGTGAGTTATGCTCTTGTCCTCAGAGGCCTGTTGTTCCTTGCACTGCTTCTCTCCCTTCCTCTGCCGGTGACACCACTTCCTCCCTGCACACCACTCCTTTGAGCACTTCAGTCTCCCCCTGGGTCCCCACAGACTCAGCCAAGGGAAAGAAAGGCCGGGGAGGGCTAGGACAGAACTGTGGCGAAGCTTCCCCTGGCTTCCTTTTCCTAGTTCATGAGAGATTCCCACATGGCTTCCCATGGTCAGCCCATCAGTCAACCCCCTGTGTCGCCTGCCTCCCGTTTCAGGAACATCATCTTATGTGGGGAGATGACAACCTAAGGTTTGGGGGAAGGACTCACCCACATGTGGCCAGGGCCCCTCCAGCAAGAAGAACCCTGGAAAGAAAGATCATGATGGATGATCCATCTGTACATCACCTCCAGGCCCATATCTCCACTCCAGGCCCATATCTCCACCTCCGTCCTATATCTCTACTCCAGGCCCATATCTCCACTCCAGGCCTATATCTCCACCTCTGTCCTATATCTCTACTCCAGGCCCATATCTACACTCCAGGCCCATATCTCCACCTCCAGGCCTGTATCTCCACCTCCAGGCCCGTGTCTCCATTCCAGGCCCATATCTGCACTCCAAGCCAACATCTCCACTCCAGGCCCATATCTCTACTCCAGGCCCATATCTACAGTTCCAGGCCCATATCTCCACCTCCAGGCCCATATCTCCACTCTAGGCCCATATCTCCACCTCCAGGCCCGTATCTCAATTCCAGGTCCATATCTGCACTCCAAGCCAATATCTCCACTCCAGGCCCATATCTACAGTTCCAGGCTCATATCTCTACTCCAGGCCCATATCTCTACTTCAGGCCCATATCTACAGTTCCAGGCCCATATCTCCACTCCAGGCCCATATCTCCACCCCAGGCCCATATCTCCACTCCAGGCCTATATCTCCACTCCAGGCCCATATCTCCACTCCAGGCCCATATCTCCACTCCAGGCCCAGATCTCCACCCCAGCGCTCCCTCCCTCGATTCCCTTCCAGGACTCACCAACACACGCCATGCTGACGACCATGAGCGACATGGTGCTGCCGGTGCAGACAGGCGGCTGCGCCCCAGCTCAGTTCAGCAGCACACAGGATGTTGTGAGGGGCTCATGCAGTTTACATGCTGACCACATCATGGGAGGATGACGTATGCAGGCTATTTCTACCTTGCATGAGGCCCAGTGGCTGTTTGGTCAAGAGCAGAACATGGCTTCCTGGAAATTGTTCCAACTAGAATTGACACCTTGCATCCTTCACTATAACCAACTCAAAACACGTCTCAGATCCAATCTCTCATACAGGAGATGACTGAATGCTTGGCTTACATTAAAGACTTTTGATGTATTTTTGTTGTTTTTATCTGAGATTCAAACTCTTCTTCATGTGCTATTTTCCCCAGGCTGTTCTTTGACTTCAGAGTTCAAGCAATCCTCCTGCCCCAGCATTTCTAGCAGCTGGCAGTATGTCACAATCTGCCACACCCAAGTCACAACTTTTAGAACTTTTTTTTTTTTTGAGACGCAATCTCACTTCGTCACCCAGTTTGGAATGCAGTGGTGAGACCTCGGCTCATTGCAGCCTCCACCTCCCAGGTTCACGCAATTCTCGTGCCTCAGCCTCCTAAGTAGCTGGATTTACAGGCACCCACCATCACGCCCACCTAATTTTTGTACTTTTAGTAGAGAGGAGGTTTCTCCATGTTGGCCAGGCTGGTCTTGAACTCCTAACCTCAAGTGATCTGTCTACTTCAGCCTCCCAAAGTGCTGAGATTACAGGTGTGAGCCACCATGCCTGGCCGGGACATTCTATATGTGTGCGTATGTGTGCGTTTATATACATATGGTTATACACACACACACACACACACACCCTAAGCACTCACATATATAGTTGTTTCAAATTTTAAAAAATATAAATTTTGTATTTTTCTTTCTTTTTCTCACATTTGTGTTTCTATGACACCATATACATATTGAATTTTATAGTTCTATTTTATTCTTTTGGATTGCAGTTTAATAGTCCATACATAACTTTATCAACATGTAATTATCCACTCTTTTTATCATGGACATTTGTGTTGTTTCCGGATTTTCTCTTTTATAACTCGGGCCTTGATAATCGTGTTTCTGTGTGATCCCTTGCATACATATGCTGAATTAATTAGACATATTTACCTAGGAATGAAATTATTGGTTTTGGGTGCAAGTTGGTGTTGAGCTTAACCAGGAAGTGCCAAAATATTTCCATCATGACCAAATGTGGCCTGGAAAGTTTTTTGGGGTCAATTTTCCTGTTTCTTCTAAGGAACAAAATTGATGTCACTGATTTTTCTGTCCTGTTTGTCATTTATGAATATACGTACATATGCACGTATATATTTGCTTGCCATTTTATGTTTTTCCTCGACGTTACTTTGGAATTAATTTGCTGATGTGTAGTATTTCTGCAAGCGAAAGTTACCTATTTACTCAGCTCTTCCTTCTTTTCTAACACAGACATTTGAGGCTTATTTTCCTTTAACACTGTTCTATCTGTATCCCCAGTCATTTGCCGAGATGTGTTTTCATTTTTAATTGATACAAAATATTTTCCACCTTTCTTTGAAATGTTTTTCTTCCACTCATTGTTTATTGCTATGTGTGTTTATTAATTTTAAAATATTTGATAATTTCCCCAGCATTTCCTTGTTGTACATTTATAATTTAATTCAACTGTTTCATCTATCATATTACCTATGATTCAGCATTTAAAAATTTATTTTGGTGAATGTTCCAGGGGTGCTAGACAAGTTTGTGGATTAGGAAGATTTGAGGTGGATGTTTTCTAAATGTCAGTTAAGAAAAAAATCATTCAAATGTTTTTCTTTATTTAAAAAAAATAGAGACGGGGTCTCACTATGGTGCCCAGGCTGGTCTCAAACTCCTGGCCTCAAGTGATCCTCCCATTTTGGCCTCCCAAAGTGCTAGGATTATTGAAATTATTAAATGTTTCATATCAACACCCAACCTTATGCACCCGCCGCCTACACAAATGTTTTTCAAGTCTTTCATATGCTTAATAATTTTCTGTGTACTTGTTCTGGAAGTGAGGTGAATGTTGCTATCTCTAGCTGCAATTTGGATGTGATTGATTATGTTTTGAATTATGCCTTTAATTTAATGTGTTTTGAGGTTCCAGCTTTAGGTGTGTAGGCATTTAGGATTATTATGTCTTATTTATGAATTTGCCTCTTTGTCATTATGAAGTACTCCTCTTCATATCTCCATATATCTCTTCTTTGTATGTGCATGGTGAAATATTTCATTCTTTGAGTTAAGAAACTTCTATTGAGGAATACTTTTTATTACAAACATTTACCTATTCTATGTATACAACTGACTAGAAGCATATTTTGCACTGGGCATTATCATGACAATGTAATGTCATTCTTTCAATATTTACATCTTGTGGATTAGTATTTGAAGTGCAGCTTATGTAGACAGCATAAGGTTGGGTGTTGATATGAAACATTTAATAATTGCACACGTATTTGCCTCTTGGGATACTTCCACTTTTTTGAATTTCAAGTTACTAAATGGTATCATTAATCTTTGCTTCAAGAGCTTAACATTTATTGTAGAACAATGCTTCATGTAATAAATTGTGAGACATTTTTAATGGCACCTTTATTGCAGGAAAATGTTTTCCTTTTCAGGTTGAAAGATTCTAGTTTGAAATATTTTCTTGTAGCACTTTAAAAATGTTGGTCCACCTATTTCTTACTTTCATAGTTTTGAATACAAAGTTTGCTGTCATTCTTGTATTTCTTCTTCTGTTTTTTATTTATTTATTTTTGACAGAATATCTTGCCGTCTCACCCAGGCTGGAGTGCAGTGGCATGATCTTGGCTCACTGCAACCTCTGCCTTCCAGGTTTCAGCAATTCCTGCCTCAGCCTCCTGAGTAGCTGGGACTACAGGCATGCGCCACCATACCCAGCCAATTTTTTTTTTTGTATTTTTTTTTTGTAGAGATGAAGTTTTGCCATATTGGCCAGAACTCCTGACCTCAAATGATCCACCTGCTTTGGCCTCCCAAAGTGCTGGGATTACAGGTGTGAGCCACTGTGCTCAGGCTATTTATTCCTTTTTATATAATATGAATTCACATTCATACATACCAGGGGTTAGGATTTCAACAAACGTTTCTGGGGGAGACCACTCAAAACACAGCACTCATCCTTGGTTATTTCCAGCCATGGAGCCTGTATCAATATCCTGGTGAATTATCTAAGCTGTCCACCTACCTACCCCAAATCCTCATGGTCACATAAAAGGCTAGTATAGTATAATAATTTTTCTTTCCCTGCTTATCTACAGTGATGAAGAAACGAATATTCAAAGGGAAAAATCTTAGCTTTAGGTATAGGGTAATTCTTCTTCCTATTTTTAAATAACTTCAACCTTTACTGTAGATTAAAGGTATGCATGCAGGTTTGTTACATAGGCATATTGTGTGACTCTGAGGTTTGTGGTTCCAACAATGCCATCACCCAGGCAATGAGCATAGAATCCAACAGGTGTTTCTTCAGCCTATACCTCCCTACTCCTCCCCCCATCTGTAGTCCTCGGTATCTGTTGTTTCCATCTTTATGTTCATGTGTATTCAATGTTTGGTTCTCAGTTATAAGTGATAACATGTGGTATTTGGTTTTCTGTTCCTGGGTTAGTTCACTTAGGAGATTGACCTCCTGCTACATTCATGTTGCTGCAAAGGACATGATTTCATTATTTTTTATGGCCATGTAATGTTCCATGTGTATATGTAGCACATTTTCTTTAACTAATCCACTGTTGGTGAGCACTTAGGTTGACTGCAAATCTTTGCTATTCTGAATTGCACAGCAATGAATATACTAGTGCATGTGTCTTTTTGACATAGTTAATTACCTTCCTTTTGGTATATACCCAGTAGTGGGATTGCTTGATTGAATAGTAGTTCTATTTTAAGTTATTTGAGAAGTCTCCAAACTGCTTATCACATTGGCTGAACTAGTTAACATTCCCACCAAGAGTGTATAAGTGTTCCCTTTTCTCCACAATCTTGTCAGCATCTGTTATTAAAAAAAACAAAAAACTTTTTAGTAATTGCTTCTGCTTCTCTGATTGTTGTGAGATGGTATCTCACTGTGGTTTTAATTTGCATTTCTCTGATGATTACTGATAATAAGCATTTGTTCATATGTTTTTTGGCCATGTGTACATCTTCTTTTGAGAAGTGTCTGTTCATGTCATACTTAATTGAGGTTTTTTGGTTTTCTGCTTGTTGATTTGTTTACATTCCTTATAGATTCTGGATATTAGAACTTTGTCAGATGCATAGTTTGCAAATATTTTCTCCCAGTCTGTAGGTTATCTGTTTACTCTGTTGATACTTTCGTTTGCTGTGCAGAAGCTCTTCAGTTGAGTTAGGTCCCAATTTCTGTCTTTGTCACAATTGGTTTTGGGGAGTTAGCCATAAATTCTTTGCCAAAGTCTATCTTGAGAAGGATATTTCCTAGGTTTTCTTCTAGAATTTTAATATTTTGAGGTTTTACATTTAAATCTTTAAACTATCTTGGGTTAATTTTTGTATATAGTGAGAGTTAGGGGTCCAGTTCTATTATTTTGCATATGAGTAGTCAGTTATCCCAGAACTATTTATTGAAGAAAGGGTACTTTCCACATTGCTTGTTTTTGTCAATTTTTTCAAAGATGATTGTAGGTATGTAGCCTCATTTCTGGGTTCTCTATTCTGTCTCATTGGTCTATGTGTCTGTTTTTGTAGTAGTATCATGCTGTTTGGGTTACTATAGCATTGTAGTATAGTTTGAAGTTGGGTAATGTGATGCCTGGGCTTTGTTCTTTGTGCTTAGGATTCCTATGTGTATTCAGGCTCTTTTTTTGGTGCCAAATACATTTTAGAATAAATTTTTATAATTTCGTGAAAAATGACATTGCATTTTGAAATGGATAGCATTGAGTCTGCAATTTGTTTTTGGAAGTATGGCGATTTTAACTATTTGTTCTCCTAATTCATGAGCATGGAATATTCTTCCATTTGTTTGTATCATTTCTTATTTCTTTCAGAAGTGTTTTGTAGTTCTCCTTGTAGAGAATTTTCACCTTCTTGGTTAGATGGATTCCTAGGTATTTTATTTTCTTTGTGGCTAGTGTAAATGGAATTGTGTTCTTGATTTAGTTCTCAGCTAGAATGTTAGTGGTGCATAGAAATGTTACTAATTTGTGTACATTTTTTTAATCCCGAAACTTTATTGAATTTGTTTATCAGTTTCAGGAGCCTTCTGACAGAGTCTTTAGGGTTTTCTATGTATAAAATTATTTCATCAGCAAAGAGAGACAGTATCACTACTTCTTTTCCAATTTTAATGCCTTTTATTTCCTTCTCTTGCCTGATTGCTTTGGCTAGGACTTCCAGTACCATGTTGAATTAAAATGGCGGGAGTGGTCATCCTGGTCTTGTTTCGGTTCTCAAGGGGTATGGTTCCAGCTTTTGCCCATCAATATGATGTTGGCTGTGGGTTTGTCATAGATGGCTCTTAATATTTTGAGGTATGTTCCTTTGATGCCTATTGACAGTTTTTATCATGAAGGGATGTTGGATTTTACAGAAAGCTTTTTCTGCATCTATTGAGATGATCATATAGTTTTTGTTTTTAATTATGTTTATGAGGTGAATCACATTCGTTGACTTTGTAGGTTGAACCAACCTTGCATCCCAAAAATAAAGCTTACTTGATCATGTGAATTAACTTTTGATGCACTGACAGATTCAATTTGCTAGCATTTTGTTGAGGATTTTATGTCTATGTTCATTAAGGATATTTAGTTGTAGTTTTCTTTTTTTCATTATGTCTCTGACAGATGTTGGTATCATGGTGATGATGGCTTCATAGAATGAGTTAGGAAGAAGCCCCCACTCCTTGATTTTTTCCAAAAGTTTCAGTAAGATCGGTATCAGTTCTTCTTTGTATGGCTGTTGGATTTTGGCTGTGAATCCATCTGGTCCTGGGCTATTTTTAGTTAGTAGGGTTTTTATTACTGATTAAATTTCTGAACTTGTTATTGGTCTGTTCAGGTTTTCACTTTCTTCCTGGTTGAAATATGATAAATTTTGTGTTACCAGGAATTTATCCATTTCTTCTAGGTTTTCTAGCTTGTTTGTATAGAGGTGTTCATAATAGTCTTTGACGATCTTTTCTATTTCTGTGGGATTGTTCGTAACATTGTTTTGTCAGTTCTATTTGTGTTTATTTGGATCTTTTCTCTTTTTCTTTGTTAATCTAGCTAACAGTCTATGAATTTTGTTTATTTTTTTTCAAAGAAAAACTCTTGGTTTTATTTATCTCTTGTATGGACTTTTTGGTCTCAATTTATTCAGTTCTCTCTGACTTTAGTTATTTCTCATCTTTTGCTGGCCTTGGGTTTGGACTGTTCCTTTTTTTTAATAGTTCCTCTAGATGCAGTGTTAAGTCACTAATTTGAGATCTTTCTAAACTTCTGATGAGGCATGTATTGCTATAAATTTTCCTCTTATCACTGCTTTAACTGCATCCCAAAGGTTTTGGTAAGTTTGTTTCTATTTTTATTAATTTTAAATAATGTTTTGTGATTTCTGCTTTAATTTCATTGTTCACCCAAGAGTTCTCAAGGGGTACAGTTCCAGCTTTTGACCATTCAATATGATGTTGGCTGTGGATTTGTCATAGATGGCTCTTAATATTCATTCAGAAACAAGTTGTTAAATTTCCATGTTTTTCTGTAGTTTTGAGAGATCATCTTGGTATTTTTTTCTATTTTTATTGTGTGCCTTGTTATGATTTTGATTCTTTGAATTTATTGAGACTTGCTTTGTGGCCAGTCTTAGAATATGATATGTTTTTTGTGTGTGCAGATAAGAAGAATCTATATTCTGCAGTTGTTGGGTGGAGTACTCTGTAGATGTCTATGAGGTCCAATTGGTCAAGTGTTGTCTTTAAGACCAGAATTTCTTTGTTAGTTTTCTGTTTTAGTGATTCATCTGACGTTGTTAGTGGGATACTGAAGTCCCTTACTATTATTGTGTGGCTGTCTAACTCTTTTCATAGGTGAAGAATAACTTGTTTTATGAATCGGGGTGCTCCAAATTTGGGTGCATATATATTTAGAATAGTTAAGTCTTCTGTCAAATTGAACCCTTTATCATTTTGTAATGCCCTTCTTTGTCCTTCCTGATTGCTGTTGATTTAAAGTGTGTTTCATGTGATATAAGAATAGGAATGCCTTCCTTTTTTTTGTTTCCTGGTTGCCTAGTAAATATTTCTTCATCCTTTTACTTTGAGCCTGTGGGTGTCATTACATGTGAGATGGGTCTCTTGAAGACAGCAGGCAGTTGGCTCTTGGCTTTTTATCCACGTTGCCACTCTATGCCTTTTATGTGGGGAATTTAGGCCATTTACATTTCTTCTCCTGATATATCCTTTTTATATTTTTATGATTGCCTTTTAAAATATATTGAATGGTTGTAATTCCAGGGAAATGTCTTTCAGAACAGTATTTATTCCCATCTACATGTTTTGGAGAGTGCACTAGGGGACATTGAAGTTTATTTCCTGAAAAGAGTTTAATTTTAAAATGTATTTTATTTAATAACTCAATGATTCAGGGAATGTCTAGGTATTTCAGAGATTGTTTTAGACAGTTTGTTTTCTTGTGATATGTGACCACTTCATCTAAGCTGAATAATGTCTTCATAATGTCCACTTAGAATCTTTTGAATTCTGTAGGATCTGTACTGATGTCATTGTTTCCTTTCTGATATTGGTAATTTTCCTGGGGTAGGATTCTTAGCTCCTCCTGAGGTCCTGCCTCTAAAATTCAGGGAACAATGAGTCAGATTAGTACTCTGATTTCAAAGGGAAAGCTGATCATCTACCATTTTTTGTTTATGTAAATGGACACATTAACATCCCTTGTCTGAACCTTAGTTACCTTGTTTGGAGCATTTTGCTATAAATCTCACTTCTCAGAGTGGTTGTGGGGCTTGATGTGGCTGGGGTATGGGATGGCTTAAACATAATTTATTTCCAGACCAGGTTAAGGCATGAAGGGGTTGGGACTTGTTAGAATCCTGTTGTCGGACTCCACAGTAAGGGTAGACATTTGAGGCACCCAATCAAAAACCTCAGTTGTTCCTAGCACTGAGAAATTTGATAGAATGTTTCTAAAACATTATTCATGGTCTAATGCACAAAAAGTAAAGTGATAGCCCTGGAAGTAGACAGGGAACCATAAGAAAAAAGAGAGAGCAAAGCTCAGTGGTCACCAGTGCCTGGGACCATCAAGGGGTTATTAAGGAGGAAGTTTCCACCTCTGTGGGGAACAGAAGAGGCTCCCTAGGGTCCACACACACAGGGAGTGAGCCAAGACTCTGGGCGAGGCTGGAAGCTCTGGGTCTCCTTCTGTGAGATTTTCTTTTTTTTTTTTGAGATGGAGTCTTGCTCTGCCACCCAGGCTAGAGTGCAACGGCGCGATCTCGGCTCATGGCAACCTCTGCATAAAGTGGTATGTATTTAAGGCATGCATTAGACAAATTACTAAGTATTTACTAGATAAGAAAAAATTATATCTGAATCTTTTCAAATTGCCGTCTTATGCATTATATTCTCTTTTTATAGTGCAATTTCTTAATAGTTAATGCCAGAAGATTTTTTTTTCTTCCTTTCTTTCTTTCTTTTTTTTTTTTTTTTGAGACAGAGTCTCACTCTGTTGCCAGGCTGGAGTGCAGTGGCACGATCTCGGCTCACTGCAACCTCCGTCTCTCGGGTTCATGCCATTCTCCCGCCTCAGCCTCCTGAGAAGCTGGGACTACAGGCACCCTCTACCATGCCCAGCTATTTTTTTTTTTTTTTTTGTATTTTTAGTAGAGACGGGGTTTCACCATGTTCGCCAGGATGATCTCTGTCTCTTGAACTCGTGATCCACCTGCCTTGGCTTCCCAAAGTGCTGGGATTACAGGCATGAGCCACTGCACCTGGTCGCCAAAAGATATTTTTAAAAACCTAAATGCCACTTGAAATGAATAAGACCCTCAATAATTCATGGGATATACATGTGAACTTATGACATATGATGAAATAAGCAGGTTACAAAATTGTAATATATCAAGCAAGGTAGAAAGCCATGGCAGAAAAAGAGACAAGCATTTTCAAGATAAGGAATGAAAGAGGGGAAACAGTACTATTGATTTTACAGATTTTACAAAGATATCTTAGGTGTGTTTTCCTAAATAATAAATGTACCCTCCTTTTGACCTTTATGTAATGAAATAACCATGCACACATTTTCAAATAATACTTCATTTACTTGACTTTATGCTTGAAAATTGAAGTATGGTGCTGTTTGTTATTTTCATTTATGCATTTTACTACCTTGTAATATTCCACTGAGTCTATTTACCACACTATGTTTATTTTTTTCGTAGGTGGACTTTGGTATTTTATAGCTTTGGCTAATAGGAACAGCATTCCTATAACAGTTGTGAGTGTATCATGACACATAAGTAGACATTTATCTCTAGGGTACATAATTAAGTACATAATTAAGAAGGGTCACAGCCATGTGCCTCCTCTTTTTAACTAGATAATTCCAATACACTTCCTTAATTGATTAAAGCAATTTGTACTCTTACTATTAATGTACTAAAATTCTACATGTTCAATATTCTTTCCAAAAAATGATTTTGCTACTTTTTTCTTTTCTTGAGACTGAGTCTTGCTCTATCACCCAGGCTGTAGTGATCTCGGCTCACTGCAACCTCCGCCTCCTGGGTTCATGCGATTCTCGTGCCTTGGCCTCCCAAGTAGCTGGGATTACAGGCAGGCGCCACCATGTCTGGCTAATTTTTGTATTTTTAGTAGAGACAGCGTTTCACCATGTTGGCCAGGCTGGTCTCGAACTCCTGACCTCAGGTGATCCTCCTGCCTCGGCCTCCCAAAGTGTTGGGATTACAGGCATGAGCCACCACACCCGGCCTATTTTTTTCTTTTCCCTCCATTGTGCTATGATTTTTGACATTACAATTTTACTGAAACTACACCATAAGAATGAAGCAGAAATTATTATAACCTTTAAATAAACTTTACAACTGGTTCATACTCGTGTGAACGACAATTCTTTTGACTACTTCCCAACTGTGCATTCAATGGCGTCATATGGGCACCCTGAAGTTGGCCATAAAGGACGTATTTATACCACACTAATCAGCAAATACCATAAATCTGGGGCTTTATATGTTCAGAGTTTTCTTAAGAAAATAATTTTTTCAGAGAGCCAGTTTAACAGAATACCATGAGGCTGAGCCTTCGAGCGTTAGTGTGCTCATTCTGAGAGATGATATTTCTGGACAAAGTACACAGGTATCATCCGATGAAGAGTGAAGGGAATTCAGGGTCCAGAGAGGGTGCTAGGGCATCATTTCAGACTCATATTTCCCTTTTTTTTTTTTTTTTTGGAGATGGAGTCTTGCTCTGTTGCCCAGGCTGGAGTGCAGTGGCAAGATCTTGGCTCACTGCAACCTCCGCCTCCCGGGTTCAAGCTATTCTCCCGCCTCAGCTTCCTGAGCAGCTGGGATTACAGGTGCTCACTGCCACACCCAGCTAATTTTTGTATCTTTTAGTAGAGACAGGGTTTCACCATGTTGGCCAGGTTGGTCTCGAACTTCTGACCTCAAGTGATCCGCCCACCTCAGCCTCCCAAAGTGCTGGGATTACAGGTGTGAGCCACTGTGCCTGGCCTCAGACTCATGTTTCAAAGTCCCAAATACAAATCTGCCCACCTATTCCAGTTATTTAATCCAGATCTATGCTCAGAACTGAAAAGATGGAGAATCAATAGTTCACTTTAGAGAATGCGGTAGTTGGAAACAAAGACAAATGTATTACATGACAGTGGACCAGAGCACGTGATCGCAGGGGTGTGGATGCAAACCCACCATGGGGGACGTGCCTTCACATCACAGAGAGCGAAAGGAAGGGAGGGGCAGACACGGAGGATCCACAACAGCAGGACTGAAAGCACTGCCATTTAATGGAAGTTTAATGGAGGAAGCGTTCTCTACAGGCACCCAGACATCTTCCTGAACCTGACCCAAGCCTCCCCTTCTCGACTTTCTCAGTAGACGGTTTCCCGAATGATGGTCCAGACTTTCTTCCAGAACCTCCTAGGACTATCAGATTCATTGCCAAGGCTCTGGCACTCTGAAGGGTGCATTGTTCTCTCATGTATTTACCTCCTTGCTGCATCTTGGGGACTTCTCTAGCTGTGCCAGTCCTAAAGCAGCAGAATCCCGAGGACCACCAGGACCAAGCCAGCCACAGCCACGCGGATGAGATTCTCCACTGTGTAATCCTGGGGGTGTGAGGCTGGGGATGGTGGACCAAGAGGTCTCAGAGGTCAGGGCAGATCAACATCACCCGGGACCCCTGGATGTCCACCCAGGGCACCCACCTCCCCTTCACAGGACCTGACCCTCTGTGCCAGCCCCATAACCGAGAGCATCTCCTTACACACCAGTCTTGGAGTCTGTCTTGTTTTGCGATGGGCTGAGGGTCTCAGCTGCTCCTGAGAATCAACCAAAAAAGGGGGAGGTGTGTGAGGAGTTGAAGAGACTTAAGCCAACATGTCCCTCAGTTGCTGCATTCCTTTGTGTCTACACTTCTCCTAACTGCTCTGTAGTTGTGTGATAGAACCTTTCCCTGCCGTGGCAGAGGTACATTCGCATACATACATACATATATGCATAGGTGTAAATATGTGTGTATACATAATATGTGTTATGCATATGTGTATACATAATATGTATTATGCATATGTGTATAGATAATATGTATTATGCATATGTGTATGCATAATATGTATTATAAGATATAGTGTGAGTATATATAAATATATAATATATAAGATATATAATAGTGTGTGTATACATATAAATATATAATAAGATATGTAATAGTGTGTGCATATATAAATATATAATATATAATAAGATATATAATAGTGTGTATATATAAATATATAATACATAATATATTATAAGATATATAATAGTATGTATATATAAATATATAATACATAATATATAAGATATATAATAGTGTGTGTATATATAAATATATAATACATTATATATTATAAGATATATAATAGTATATATAAATATATAGTACATAATATATAATAAGATATATAATAGTGTGTGTATACATATAAATATATAATAAGATATGTAATAGTGTGTGCATATATAAATATATAATATATAATAAGATATATAATAGTGTATATATATAAATATATAATACATAATATATTATAAGATATATAATAGTATGTATATATAAATATATAATACATAATATATAAGATATATAATAGTGTGTGTATATATAAATATATAATACATTATATATTATAAGATATATAATAGTATATATAAATATATAGTACATAATATATAATAAGATATATAATAGTGTGTGTATACATATAAATATATAATAAGATATGTAATAGTGTGTGCATATATAAATATATAATATATAATAAGATATATAATAGTGTATATATATAAATATATAATACATAATATATTATAAGATATATAATAGTATGTATATATAAATATATAATACATAATATATAAGATATATAATAGTGTGTGTATATATAAATATATAATACATTATATATTATAAGATATATAATAGTATATATAAATATATAATACATAATATATAATAAGATATATAATAGTGTGTGTATATATAAATATATAATACATAATATATATTATAAGATATAATAATGTGTGGGTAATATAAATATATAATACATAATATATAAGATATATAATAGTGCATATATAAATATATAATACATAATATATATTATAAGATATAATAATGTGTGGGTATATATAAATATATAATACATAATATATATTATAAGATATAATAATGTGTGGGTATATATAAATATATAATACATAATATATAAGATATATAATAGTGTATATATAAATATATAATACATAATATATATTATAAGATATATAATAGTGTGTGAGTATATATAAACACATACATATATATTTGAAGTGAGAAGAGTATTATATAATTTAGAAACAAACAAGTTTGTCCTCCATTTTCTTGTGGTTAATGTAATTATTATCAATAAATCAGAAGAGATCATTTCGGAAAGGATTGAAAGGGAGTGTGTCTGTGGTAAGTTAATAGGAACTAAAATTAGCATACCCAAACCAATAGCTTTCTCATCCATACGTAACTAATTTTAGAAAATAGAAAGGAATCAAAGACTTTCAAATTATTCAAGTAGTAAAACAATGCTTAAAATTCACAATGTCCACAATTTTTATGAATACAACTTCAAGCATCTGCTAACTGTATAAAGTTTAATTTTAAATGTATTGGATACAAAGACATTATTAATGAGAAGTTATTCTCCATCATGAATGCACATATTTAATTTAATCCCAAAGAAAATCAGAGCACAGTTATTTTACATCATAACGCTACCTAACAAATTAAATGTGTAAATTATAAATGCCAGCATTGCTTTGAAATCTTCAGAAACAGAAAGAGAAACTAGATATGTGGACATAAAAAATAAAGGACAGAAAGGAATTGCACACGAGGTTTGCTGTTGAATAATTTGCCTGCATTGCTGCAGTGAGCAGGTGCATGATCTCCCCTTCGTCTCAGGTATGCACTGAGTATTTTGGGGCCGCCAGGGGAGCCCAGGTGGGGAGTGGGTGGGGCCTCCATCTTCTACCCTCAGCCTAAGCATGATTCCTCCAAGGTTTCTCCATATCTCATTTCAGCCCTCCCTGGCCTTTAGCCCCATCTGAGGTCTCTGGGGTGGGAGCCCAGGATTAGGAGGTCCCTGACTATTTCCACCCTCTCATGGGCTGGGCCCTCCCCTGCCGACCCTCCCCCTTTACTCCCCTCTTTCCTTAGCGTCCTGAGCTCTCCTGGGGGCAGGGCCTGAGCTGAGGTTTGAGCTCAGAGAGGACAGGGTCAGCGGCCTCACCTGAGACCACGAGCTCCAGGGGGTCACTGGGGTGAGACAGCAGGTAGGGGAAGAATCTGCGTGAGCTGTAGCACCTGTAGGTCCCCGCGTGGGCTGAGGTCACAGGACTCATGGGGAATTCAGCCTGGTGCTGCTGAGCTTGGTGCTCTGATCTCAGACGCAGTGGGTGATGGGCTGCCCCCTCCTTGGTCAGAAGGAAAGTGTCCAACTGCTCCCGTGACTGACACAGCAGGGTCACGTTCTCTCCTGAGGCCACCGTGGGGCCCGGCTGCACCGAGAGGGAGGGTCTGCCACGGATCTGTCCTGGAGAGAAGAAGGATGGGTGAGGGGCTGCCCCACCTCGTTCTGAGCTGACACCTCCCCAGGCCTCTCCCTGGGACCCTCAGTGTCTCTGTCTCTGTTTTCTCTGAGTCTCCCCCTCCCCGCCCATCCCCTGTCTCTGTCTGTCTCTCCGTCCCTTAGGACCCCCACCCCTCATCCCGGCCATCACCACCTGGGCTCCCCCAGCAGGGCCTGTGCGGAGCCTGGGTCCCTGACTGAACCTGCTGGGCTCCTCACCTGCGATCAGGATGCTCAGGGGGTCACTGGGGGCCGACCACTCGGAGGAGAGGTTGTGTGCACCGTAGCATCTGTACTGGCCCCCGTGGGAGACCCTCACAGGGCCCAGGGTGAAGTTGGCCTGGGAGAGCCCAGCCTGGGGCTGCCGGCCAGAGCCCTGGACGAGGTCATGTCCCCCCTCCTTGTACAGAGTGAATTTGTCATAGCCGA
Organism: Homo sapiens; assembly: GCF_000001405.40. NCBI lineage: Eukaryota > Metazoa > Chordata > Mammalia > Primates > Hominidae > Homo > Homo sapiens. Next base: position 237,543 of record NT_187636.1, read on the forward strand.
CATCAGAGCCACACTGGAGGGTCAGATTCTCCCCAGGGGCCACGACAGGGCCCTGCAGGGTCAGGAGGGAGGGCTTCCTAGACACGCCTGGAGGGAAAGAAGAGTCGGGACTAGGAGGGCTGGTTCCTCCCACACCCCTTCCTTCTCCCCTCCTGGCCCTGCAGGTCTCACTGTCTCTCACACTCAGTGTCTCTGGGCTCAGGAGTCCCAAACTTCCCTTGTTCCACCCTCCTACATGGGGCTCCGTGAGAGTAAGTTCTCAAAAATAAATAGGGCAAGGAGGAAGACATCCATACCTAAGACCAGGATCTCCATGGTATCACTGGGTTCCGACCACACCCAGGGGAAGTTCGTGTAATGCCCATAGCATCTGAACATCCACCGGTGACTGGCAGCCACACGGCCCACAGGGAACAGGGCCAGGGACAAGGGACAGCCCCTTGGAGAGTTCCTGTGAGTCCAGCATCCAGGAGAGCTTGTTTTCTCCTTCCTCAATCAAAATGAACCTGTGAAATCCCACCCTTGAGCTACACTGGATGGTCACGTTCTCTCCTGAGGTCACCACAGGGCTCGGCAGGGCTGAGAGAGTGGGTTTTCTGTGGGCTCCTAGGAGAGAAGGAGACACTGTCTTAAATGGGGCTCACGCGTCCCACATCATCCCCCAGGGCTGAGTTATTAGAACGGAGATGCCCTTGAGAGCTGACCCCCTTCCTGCAGGCAGAGCCTGGGGCTGGGACCCCTGAGTGTCCTCTTACCTGTCACCACCAGCTCCAGGGGCTCGCTGCGCTCTGACCAGCCTGCAGGGCTGAGATAGTGACAGTGGTATCTCCCTGCATGGTGCTCTCTCATGGATGGGATGAAGAAGTTGGTCTTGTTCCTGGGCTCTGGTGGGCTCTGTTGGTACCAGGTCATGGGGTTTCCTTCCTTGGTGAGATAGTAACCCTGGGTATCCAGGGTCCCCTGGCACCAGAGGGTCATGGGGCTCTCCCAGGTAATCACAGAGCCTGGCTCAGCCCAGAGGCTGGGTTTGGGGAGGGTCCCTGGAAGAAACCACAGGCTGGGGTCCACAGACCTCCCCCGCTCCTCATTCCCAGCTCAGGTCACAGACCCTCTTGATTTTCTCACCCTCAGTTCAGAAGCCCCTGAGATGAGAGTCCAGGTGCTGAGTGTGAGGTCAGGCATGGGAGGTTAGCAGAGACTCACCTGCAAGTGCTTGGGCTTTCTGGCCCAGACTCAGCCATGGAGAAGAGTTTCCTGTGGGGGATTTGGAACACAGAGGTGTGGCTGCTTCCCTTCCTGTTGGAGCACCAGTAGCCACTGGAGCCCTGAGGCTCTCTGGTGAACAAGGCTGCTGTGGGACCCTCCCCACCTCAGCCCAGTGCCCCTCCTGTCCCTCGTCTCTCCACCACTGACTGAGGCACAGAAGAACAGTGAGGATGGACACCATGATGCCTGCTCTGCGTGCTCCAGCTGTGGGACAGGTGACCACATGGCCCTCCATGACAGACAGATGCACGGATGTGGTTAAGTCAGAGCCTGCTGCCGCCTGCCTGGGTCCCCACAGCTGTGAACCCACAGGAAGTGGACAGCCCCTTGCTGGGCCTGTCTCTTATTCCCCCCCCAGTGCAGGGGCTCAGGAGGACCCAGGCCCTCTGCACACATCTCAGCCCAGACCTGAGGTGTCCCCTGATTGCCAGGGATCCTTTGTCTGAAAACCTGCCCGTGGAGGGTGGACCCAACATCATATCTATGTCAGCTCCCAACTTAGCTGGGTCTAAACTGAAAACACAGCCCTTATTTTCTCAGAGCCTCCACTCATGACATCGGCTTTCTTTTTCCCCACTGATGCAAAGACAAATATTTCCCAGCAGAAAGTCATCCTGATCTGGAGAGACCCATTTCCTGCGTTCAGTAAATAAAGTCAGTTTCATTAGGGGAGGCTCTGGGAAAATAAGGGGATGCAGACTAGCAGAAGATGAACATTTAGCTACTTGTTTCTCAATTAATTGATTTATTACCAAAGAGAGAGAAGTGGAAACATGAGAATAGGGACCATGACTAGAATGTGGTTGAGGGAATGGTTTCTATCTTATTCCCTGGCAGAGAACTAAGGGATAAGAATGAGAAAGCTGGCTGGGTGCAGTGGCTTACACCTGTAATCCCAGCACTTTGGGAGGCCGAGGCAGGAAGATCACAAGGTCAGGAGTTCAAGACCAGCCTGACCAACATGGTGAAACCCCTGTCTCTACTAAAAATACAAAAACTAGCTGGGTGTGCTGGCATGCGCCTGTAATCCCAGCTACTAGGGAGGCTGAGGTGGGAGAATCGCTTGAACCTGGGAGGTGGAGCTTGCAGTGAGCCGAGATCGCGCCACTGCACTCCAGCCTGGGCAACAAAGCCGGACTGTCTCAAAAAAAAAAAAAAAAAAAAAAAAAAAGAAAGAGAGAAAACCCAGCAGTGAGAGGTAGTTGTGAGAACACACTAAAGAGGAAAGATAATCCAGGGCTGGGAGTGGTGGCTCATGCCTGTAATTCCAGCACTTTGGGAGGCTGAGGCTGGCAGATCACAAGGTCAGGAGTTCGAGACCAGCCTGACCAACATGGTGAAACCCTGTGTCTACTAAAAATGCAAAAATTAGCTGGGTGTGGTGGTGGGTGCCTGTAATCCCAGCTACTCAGGAGGCTGAGGTGGGAGAATCGCTTGAACCCAGGAGACGGAGGTTGCAGTGAGCTGAGATTGCACCACTGCACTCCAGCATAGGCAACAAAGCCAGACTCTGCCAAAAACAAAAACAAAAACAAAAACAAAAACAAAAAACAAGAAAGCTCAGTGAGAGGTGGTTGTGAGAACACACTAAAGAGGAAAGATCATTCAGGGCTGGGAGTGGTGACTCACGCCTGTAATCCCAGCACTTTGGGGGGCCACAGGCGGGTGGATTACCTGAGGGCAGGAGTTCAAGACCAGTCTGGCCAACATGGTGAAACCTCGTCTCTACTAAAAATACAAAAACTAGCTGGGTGTGATGGCGGGTGCCTGTAATCCCAGCTACTTGAGAGGCTGAGTCAGGAGAATCTCTTGAACCCAGGAGGCAGAGGTTGCAGTGAGCTGGGATCGTGCCACTGTACTCTAGCCTGGGTAACAGAGCAAGGCTCTGTCTCAAAAAAATAAAAATTAGAAAGAAAAAAGGAGAAGGAGAAGAGGAAGGAGACAGAAAGGAGAGAAACATCCCTGAGGTGGAACATTACATGCAACATGGAGTAGGCAGGGAATCCGATAGAGCACTGAAACTCTCGCTGGGTACGGTGGCTAACATCTGTACTCCCAGCACTTTGGGTGGCCGAGGTGGATGGATCACCTGAGGTCAGGAGTTTAAGACCAGCCTGACCAACATGGTGAAACCCCATCTCTACTAAAAATACAAAAGGCTGGGTGTGGTGGCTCACGCCTGTAATCCCAACACTTTGGCAGTCTGATACAGGCGGATCACATGAGATCAGGAGTTTGAGACCAGCCTGGCCAAGATGGCAAAACCTCATCTCTACTAAAAATACAAACATTACCTGGCTGTGGTGGCAGTCGCCTGTAATCCCAGCTATGCAGGAGGCTGAGGCAGGAGAATCGCTTGAACCTGAGAGGTGGAGGTTGCAGTGAGTCAAGATCGTGCCATTGCACTCCAGCCTGGCCAATAGGAGCAAAACTCCATGTGAAAATAAAATAAAATAAAATAAAATATAATAAAATAAAATAATAAATCAAAAAAGGACTGGACATCTCCTGTGGGTTGTCAGTGAATGGAACTAAGCAAGCCACCGCTCTTTCCCTTTTGTCCCGCAAGTGTCTTTCTTGGCCTCCAGGAAGTGAGTTCCATCATGTCAGACCCTATGTTTGTTCCTGCTGGGTTCACTGAGGCTCCTCCCTTTCCACCTGTGGCTCCCCATGGGTTCCCAGTCCCCAGCCAGTGTTGTGAATCGAGCCAGGAAGACCAGCCCTATCACACCCCTCCTGATGGAATTCCCACAGTGTCATCCTGGAGAACAGGGGCTGGGGGCTGGGGTAGGATCAGAGACCTTTTCATGTGGGCCAGGCCCCTCCCTCCACAGGAGCTCTGACACGAAGCTCATCACCATTCATTTCACCCTGACGATATTCTTCCTGCCCAGACACCCCCGTTCTCCCTATGTCATCATGGGCACCTCAGTGAAATCCATGGTTGAGGGTCTCTGTCACTTACTCTGCCCTCTTCTTGGAAAATTTCCTTGGATCCTTCCAGAGCCCTTCCTGAGTGTGCTGCAGGGTCTCTGCCACATGACACACTCTCAGGAACCCTCATCCTCCCCTTAATCTACTGCGCCCACATAGCCAGGTGCAGGCTCCGTTTCTTCATCTTCCCTTCCCCACAGGCCCCGATGGAGAGTGGATTAGACTCGCTCCTGAGTAGGGACTCAGGTCACTCTGACCCCTTCCTCCCTGTGGACGAGGCCTCTGTCCCAGAGCTTTGGAGGCTGAAGGGCCTTGTGGATTCCCGCACTGGCCACAGTCTCCGATGCAGATGGGGAACTGGGGACCTGGGAGGGGTTGCCTAGCCCAAGGCCACATAGCTGGGCGGTGGCACAGCCTTCACTCACACAGGGACATTCCATCTTCCCAGGGACTTCACACTGGAGGCTAAGAGCCCCACTTTGCACACCACATTCAGGGGTAGATTCTGTGTGTGACTAACAAGTTCTCTTAGGGTTCCGAGGTAACAGGACAGCAAATGGATGAGTGAGAGTTTCCCTCACCCCACTGAAGTAGGACCATTCTCTGTGGAGGGTTGGTCCCCTGACTTCCTCTACTCTGTCATCTCCCTAGTGACTGATAGGGGTCCTGGGGTCTCTTCCCTGGAATCCCATGAGGGACAATTCCTTTCCTGAAGGGAAGGTATAGAGAGGACTAGCAGGTGCCTGGTGATGGAAAGTCCCCATAATCAAGAGACATTGCCTCCCCCCCCCGGCATGATAAATATCTGGGTTTCCAAATGGGAAATCTGTCTGTGATGAGAGCTCAGGAGGGGCTTCTGGAAGATGGAAAAGGGCTAGAGGCTGAGGCCACTGCTTATCTCCCCACACTGTATCTGGCTTCACCTCCTGTGTTTGTCCTGACCTCTTCCTTCACTCACCTGGATAAGTAGGACCCCAAAGTGGGCCTCCAGACAGGAAGCAGTGGAGAGTGTGGAGCTGCCCTGTCTACCACCCTACACCCTGACACCACTGTCATACTCAACCTCTCTTTTCCTCTTTGTGTTTCTCATTGCTTCATTTTGTCTGGAATCCCTAAGATTCCCATGTCTCCAGCAGGCTGTCCCTCAGACGTGGCTATATGATTTAGTGTTTCACAGGGCATGCAGCAGGCATGGGCTACCCCCAGTAACAGTGGTCATCTAGGGCTGATCACTCACAGGCAGAGCCATCGACAGAGAGCTGCAGCATCTAGAGGTCCCATCACCAGCCCCAAGACCCAGAGAGAAGTTGGCCTGAATGCCCCACTCTGTCTCTGCACCCCAGTGAGCCAGTGTCCAGGGGCCTTACCTTCCTCGTTAGAAGGCACAGGTCAAATGAGCTTCCAGAGCTGCAGAGCAAAGTCACATTCTCTCCATCATTACTTACTGCAGGGCACAGTTGAGCTGAGAAGGAAGGTCTCTTGTAGACGCCTGGGGAAAAAAATAGTCCTTGACTGTCGAGCACAAGCCTTACCCAGCCTATCCTCAGGGCATGAAAAAGGCATTCTCTCCACCTGTTCTGGGGAGCACACTCTGTTACCCACTCGTGCCTCTCTCCATCTCAGTTCTAGCTCTACAAGCTGGCTCATCATGTGTGTGTTTTCCTGTCTGTCTTTGCTCAGCTTTTCCTTGAATCTCTTGCTTTTTGCCGGTGCGTGTGTGGCTTTCTGCCCTTAGAACCATATGAGATTTAGGGTTCTCCTGGCACATAGAACTGTTTACTTTGAGGACCCTCAGAAAACATAGCCCTGGGCTAAGGCTCCCTGTCCTGGAACTAGAAGGTTATGGGTGTCACCATTTCCCAACAGCATGTCTGAAAGTGCCAGAATCTTCAAAGAGTCTGCAACATGTTTGTAGGATCTTTATAGGGTCTGATATTGCAGGGACCAACCAAAGTGCCCTCACACCCCAAGACGCTGGAAGTGACCCCTTGCTGAAAGTGGTTGGAAGTTTCACATAGAAGTTTGAGTTAAGCCACATTGCTGAGCAATGCCTCAGCATCCCAGTCTTCATCCAGACCTTCCAGGAGCCTGGCTGGAGGGGGTGTCTCTGGTGTGTCACTGAGCCTTATAGCAGAGGAAGGGGGCTATGGTGGAAACTACCTCCAAGATACCACTCAGTCCTAAGCTGGGGAACAAGCTGAGCTTGGATTCTGGTAGTGAATGAACCGGGAAACATTTATTTGAAGGGTTCTAAGAGTAGCATCGTGTGGGTGCGTTAATTGTATGTGAAGGGGAAGATCCTGAGAAAACAAGAGCTGCTCCACTCTGTGCCTGGGTTTACCAGAGGGACCGATGAGGTCCTCACAAGACCCAGGAATCCCACCGGGGGAAGGAGGCTTAGGGAGATGTGTTTAAGACTGTTAAGTGAGTCACAGACAGAAGCAGATCAAGCCATCCCACCACCTAGGTTTGTGGTTTTGTTTCTCCTAAACTTCCTTTCTGTAAGTAGCAGAACCTTCTCATCACCATCCTTCAAAACCTCTGCATTGTTTGAGCTCCTTGTATTTTCTGGAGATTAATCTCTTGCTTGCAAATATTCTTTCCCATTCTGTAGGTGGTCTCTTCACTCTGCTGTTTGTTTCCTTGATTGTGCAGAAGGTTTGCAGTTTGCTATGATCTCATTTGCCTATTTTTGCTTTTGCTGCCTGAGCTTTTGAGGGTTTTTTTTTTTTGTTTTTTTTTTTGAGACGGAGTCTCGCTCTGTCACCCAGGCTGGAGTTCAGTGGCATGATCTCAGCTCATTGCAACCTCCGCCTCCCGGGTTCAAGTGATTCTCCTGCCTCAGCCTCCCTAGTAGCTAGGACTACAGGCGAGTGCCACCACACCCGGCTAATTTTTGTATTTTTAGTAGAGGCAGGGTTTCACCACGTTTGGCCAGGCTGGTCTCAAACTCCTGACTTCAAGTGATCCACCCACCTTGGCCTCCCAAAGTGCTGGGATTACAGGCGTGAGCCACTGCGCCCGGCGTTGTATTGGATTTTTAATTCAGCCCTATTTTCTCCGACATTTGATATTGGCATTTTTGTCTTTTTTGGATATGCTAGGATCATGGTGTCATAATTTAATTTTAATTTTTATTTTTATTTTAAGTTCCGGGGTACATGTGCAGAATGTGTGGGCTTATTGCATAGGTCAATGTGCGCCATGGTGGTTTCCTGCACCTGTCAACCCATCACCTAGGTATTAAGCCCAGCATACATTAGCTATTTTTCCTAATGCTCTCCCTACCCCTACCCCACCCCCCCCCCGACAGGCCCCAGTGTGTGTTGTTCCCCTCCCTGTGTTCACGCATTCTCATTGTTCAGCACCCACTTGTAAGTGAGAACATGCAGCGTTTGATTTCCTGTTCCTGTGTTAGTTTCCTGAGGATAATGGTTTCCAGCTCCATCCATGTCCCTGCAAAGGACATGATCTTGTTTCTTTTTATGGCTTCATAGTATTCCGTGGTGTATATGTCTCACATTTTCTTTATCCAGTCTATCATTGATGGGCATTTGGGTTGATTCTATGTCTTTGCTATTGTGAATAGTGCTGCGATGAACACATGTGTGCATGTATCTTTGCAATAGAATGATTTATATTCCTTTGGGTATACGCGCAGTAATGGGACTGCTTTTACCTGTGCCAAAATACTGAAGTAGAAATGATTATTCACTCTAAAATGGAAGGTAATAAGATGTATACGTGAGCTATCAGATGCCTGGTGCTTATGAGTGAAGACAAGTCTGTCCAACGCTTCCCAACCCTGCATTCAGGGATGTCTCGTTGGCATCTTGATTATGGCCATGAAAAAAGAATTTACGTCAAGGAAATTGGTAAATGCCACTAATCATAGCATTTCAAAAAATGTCTTTTTCAGAATTAGCATACCATTGGGTCGTGACTTCAAATGCCAGTGTGTTGATTCCAGGTGGTGATATTTCAGGAGAAACTACACAGATAGCATCTGATAAGGAGGGAAGAGCTCATAGGGTCCACACAGGAGGTGAGGGCATCACGGTGCATTTATCTTTTCCTGGTCGGACTCTGATCTTCTCCCGTTGAATTAGTTCCTAAACCAGGTGCGGAACTCTGAACTGAAGACATGAAGACCCAGTAAAGTACACCAGGAAGTGTGGCAATGAGAAATGAAGAGGACTGTGTGACACGCCATGGACCAGAGCATGCAGGTGTGCAGAGGTGTGGACCCAACGCTGCCATGTGGGATGGAGCCTCATGTCTAAGTGTGGGAAAAGAGGCAGATCCAACCAAGGAAAGTCAACATTAATGGAGAGGAAAGGTATCACATTTTAATGGTTCTCCATGGATCACCCCAGAAAATGTCCCTGCACTCGGACATTGATTCCTTCCTCTGGAAATGACCAGCAGACAGTCCAGATAGCATCGGCCCTAGATTTTCTTCCAGAACCTCCTGGGATCATCAGATCTGTTCCTGAGGCTTCACGACTCTATAAAGTACATTATCCTCTCTGCTGTTCACCTCCCGGCTGCATCTTGGGAAGCTTCTCTGGCTGTGCCAAGCCTCAAATGACAGAATCCCGAGGACCACCAGGATCAAGCCAGCCACGCCCATGTGGATGAGATTCTCCACTGCGTAATCCTGAAGGTGTGAGGCTGGGGATGGTGGACAAAGAGGTCACAGAGGTCAGGGTGGATCAGATTGTCCACCCAGGGCACCCACCTCCCCTTCACAGGACCCAACCCTCAGTGCCAGCCCCATCACTGAGAGTATCTCCTCACATACCAGTCTCAGAGTCAGACTTGTTTTGTGATGGGCTGAGGGTATCAGCTGCTCCAGAGAATCAAAACAGAGAAAAAGAGACCTGAGCCCAGCCTCTCACCTGGGCTCTGCAATTTTTTTTTTATTACTTAATGTCTCATGATGTGACTTTTACAGAATTTCTAAAAAAAAAAAAAAAAAACCTCTTCCTCCGCTAGCAGGATTCCCTCTAGTCTCCTCATTGAACGATTTCAGTTTTCCTGTGTTCTATGGATTTAAACATTGCTCCTGAGTCATCTGGGAGAGAGTTTTCCTGCATCCTGAGAGCTCAGGATCTGCAAGGAAAGTGGTCCCCAGTACAGAGGTCACTAAGGCCTGTGTGCTCTCTGTGCAGCCTGGGACACAGGAGAACATGAGCCAACTCCCCCGGAGATGAGAGTTTCACGGATCCACCAGCTGAGGACCCAGGCTCCGTGGATGAGGGTTAGTCATCAGGGGAGCCTCAATGTCAGAAGCACAAAGGGGTGAAATTCTGGGGCTGCCTCCCCTTCATGCCCTCAGCCACTTCACCTGGAGTTTCATTGTCCATTTAATCTCTAGGTAGCTAATTATTCGTATAGGCAGCAACAGGTAGAATGTGATACACACACAGAAAAACACAAACACAAATATATATCTGTTTTATATATATAGTGGGCCTTAAAAACTATCTCTGCCTTCTTGAAGTGTGGGTTCACCTGGAGACAAACAGCAAACATATAGAAACACAGCAGTGGAAATTTACTAGTCGTAGCAATGGTTTTAGATATATTGGTAGAGACCTATATTTATGTGTGAATATATATTATTTGTATAGATATACGGATAACTAGGTTTCAATGTCACGTAAGATGTTGGTGTGACCACACACGCGCACACACACACACACACGTATATGCAGAGAGTGGAAGAGAGAGAGAAGGAATTCAGCCGCATGGTGTAGGTTGGTTAATTACTTGACATAAATGAGAAGCAGGCAGGACTGGGCTGAGCTGTGTCGTCAGTGAAGGTCACACTTGGAGGTGACATTGAAGCTGATTCCTCAATAGGAAAAAGGGCCAGGAAGGAGGCGTGTGGAGACCCAGACAGGGAGCAACAGAGGCTCCAGAAAGAGCAGGTCCCAGAAAGGTCTCAGCCTGTTCTTCAGAAAGGAATGGCCGCTTGTCTACAGGGTGGAGGAGGAGGCAGAGGAGGAGGGGAGATGAGCTTCGGGGCCTTGGTGGATTGAGAATAGGCCAGGATGAACCGGCCAGGAAAGAGCGGCCCCAATATCTCTCTCTCTGTCTCTCTGTCTCTGTCTCTGCCTCTCTCTCCCTCCCTCTGAGGTCTGGAAAGTGCTGTAGGGTTTCAAGGAGTGGTACCAGTCATTTGACTTTTTCTGAAAAGATAAGCCCTACCCCCTCCATAGCAAATGTCCAGAACGAAGGAAGTCCACATTTCTACCTGAAGTTTACAAAACCTCAGGGAGCACGTGAGATCAGGGCTATTACGAAACCGGGTGAGAATAAAAATAGGTGATGCTGCAAATCTACTTTCACCAGCTTGGACAAAAAGGCCAATATGAGATTTTAAAAACCCAAATAAAAAATGTCAACGGCGCAGAAGAGGAGCGGTGCACATTCCCTGAGCTGCTGCGGGAGCACGTGCAAGTCCCTGTGAGGCTCAGGTGTGCGCTGAGTGCTGGGGAGGCTGCAGGGGAAAGCAGGAAGTGGGGCGGGGTGGGGGGGGGTCGGGGGTGGATGCAGGTGGCACCGGCAGCCTGGATGCTTCTCTCTCCAGGAGGGCGTCTGTTGGGGACTGGGACACAGAGGCTCTGATTCTGAGGTGGAGACACCAGGATGGGAGCAGGTGGGGCCTCCGTCTTCCACCCTCAGTCTAATCTCAACTCCTTTGAGGTTCACCCCCCGTCTCCTCCCAGCCCTCCCTGCACTTTACTCTACTGAGACTTCAGGGGTGGGAGCCAGGGGTGGGAGGTCCCTGTCTATTTCCATCTTCCCATGGGCTGGACCCTCCCCTGCGGACCCTCTCCCTTCACTCCCCTCTTTCCTTAGTGTCCAGAGCTCTGCTGGGGGCAGGGCCTGAGCTGAGCCTTTGAGCTCAGAGAGGACAGGGTCAGCGCCCTCACCTGAGACCACGAGCTCCACGGGGCCACTGGGGTGAGACAGCAGGTAGGGGTCGGAGCTGAGTGAGCCGTAGCACCTGTAGGTCCCCGTGTGGGCTGAGGTCACAGGACTCATGGGGAATTC